>NC_000004.12:95891077-96194108 GCF_000001405.40 Homo sapiens
TCTGAGGTTAGCCTGACTGATTTTATACCAAGACTGAATTTAATATTTTTGATAAGCTGCCAAGGGTTCTTCACTTTTTTTTTTTTTTTAAATCTAACATTTACTAAGTGATTAGCATATGTTATGAAATAACTATACAGGAGGTTTAATCCTTATCCCCATTTTTATAGATAGAAAAACTGAGGCACAGAAAGTTAAGTGAGTTTCCCAGTGCCATACAGGAACTAAGTGACTCAAATTTTTCCAAAATAGTGGCAAGGGTCCCAGAAAGACTGATTCTCCAGTTCTAGGAATATTGAACTTGGGTTTTCTTTCTGTGTTGTCAATCCTGAACAACATGCATGTTGTATCCTTCTTCTCAGCATTCTTTGCTCATTTGCATAGATTCAATTTTTTAACGTTTTTTTTTTCTTTCTGTTGAAGCACTCCCTTTAACACTTTTCATAGTACAGATCTGGTGGTGAGAAATTCTCTGATTTTTGTCTAAAATGTCTACATTTTTCTTTGACTTTTGAAAGCTATTATTGCTGGGTATAGAATGCTAGTTGATTATTTGTTAGCACTCTAAAGATATCACTCCATTGTCTTCTGTTATGGAGTCATTCATATCTTGGTTCTTTCTGTGCATAATGTTATTTTAATCTCTTGTTGCCTTTAAAATTCTTTATTACTGGTATCAGCACATTCAGTTAAAATTTAGCTTGGTGTGGTTTTCTATGTGTTTATCTAGCTTAGAGTTCCTTGAGTTTCTTAGATCCCTTTAGAGCTTTCCTTAAATGACCAAAAATCCTGACCATTATTTTTTTAAGTCTACCTCTCTTTTTGTATTTTCCACTGGAGCTACCATTCTGTGTGTGTTAGACCACTTCAAATTATTGATTATTTATCCATTTCTTTTCAATCTTTGTTCCCTGTGTGAGTCACTTTAAATGATTTTCTGCCCTATATTTAAATTGTCTAATTTTTTCCCTGCGGGATCTAAGTTGCAGTTAATTCTATCCATAATACATTCATTTATTTTTCATCATTACAAGTTCCATCTGGCATTTATTTTTTATCTCAAATTTCTTTTCTTGTTATATTTTCCCTTTCATCCATGAGCATATTGAATGTATTTATAATAGTTTAACATCTTAGTTTGTTATTGATAGTTTCACCATCTCTGTCATTTCTGGATATGTTTCTACTGACAGAGCTTTCTCCTGGTTATGGGTCAATTCTACATCTGTCCTGATGAATAAAGAGCTTTTTATAATTAGTATTCACTGCTCAGAAATAAAGATTATATGCTGGGCTGAGAAAATACATTATTAAGGTGAAAAAATATACTCTATCAAAGCTCTTCAATCCTGTTTCCCATTTCCAGTTATAAAGAAATCACATAAAATCAAACATTTGAGAAAATTCAACAAATTCAAGGTGAATTGAAATCAAAACACAGACAAAATTAACATCCAAGGGAAAGTAACTAAACAGTAAAAAGGAAAAGTAAAATTTTAAACACATGAAATATTTGTACAAAATTTCTTTAGAATAATTCAACTGAAGAAAACAAACTAAAACACAACCAAACACTTTTGATAAGAAACAACTTCCTTTTGAAAGTTAAAAGCAGCTGCATGAAGAACAATTTCTCAATAGATAGGTAAAATAGCAGGGAGTGGGGGATACATGACAGAAGATTAAACAACTAACTTAGAAGATGGAACTGAGCATTTCTTCCAGAACATGAACTAAAAGAACAAAATGATGAAAAACATGGAAAGATGAAGAATAGAGCCAGGAGTTCCAACATTTGTCTAAGATTTTCAACAGTTGTCTACTTGGAAAATACATACAGAAGGAATATAATATAAAATAATAGAGAGAAAAAAATCTCTGAGCTGGAAAAACAACTAAACAAAATTGTTTCAGATTGAGAGACCAGCAGAAATACAAGAAAAGGCAAATATCTTAAATAGACTAATAAAATATTATAAATCCAAGGAAAAGAAAATTCTAAAAACAGAATAAAAATAAAAACAAAACAGATTTGCTAACAACAATTCCAAAGTTTTGTATTCATCTCTCCAGGAATATTTAAGAAATCTGAAGACTCCCCCACTTATTACTATTTTTAGTGTAAACAGGAATTAATCTAGGGACAAAATAGGTAAACAAAATTTTAATTGTGGGATTCCACTCTCCTTTTACCTTATTTTACCTTATTTTTTCCATGGCACTTGGTAGCTTTTTACATACTGTATAATTTACATATTTATGAAGCTTAATGGTTATGTTTCCTTTAAGGAGAATATAAGCTCCATGTAGGTAGGTGTTTTTGTTTACTGATTGCCCCCAAAACTTAGAATAGCGACTGAAACAAAATAGTTTCTCGATATTATTTGCAACATAAATTCTTTATAATAGAAAACATTGGAAGCTACTTTAATGTTCATCAATAAGAAAATGGTTATATGATATACAGTACATACCCAGATCATGTACTGGTTAAATAAAGTGACAAAATTCTGTATTATTGAATGCAAAATCACAAGCCCATCTGTAAGCATGTAAATGTCTAAAATAAGTAGTAAAGTATATTCTGAAATACTAAGTATAATTATTACCAGTTGGAATTGAGAAATGGTCAGTCAATAGTCAAGAAGTATTTTACAAAAGCTTATGTACCAGGTAATATTATAGGAATTGGGGTATACCAGTGAACAGGTTCTTACAGCAAAGATGATTACATTTTAGTGAGTAGAAAATAATTTACAAGCATAACTAAGATAATTTCAGAAACTGAGAAGTACTACAAAGAAGATAAAACAGGGTTGTATTGTGGAAATTAACATGGGAGATGTTGACTGTCTTTTATGGGTTGGTTGACTTATTTTATAGTTTGGTCTGATGGTATCTCTGAATGACGAACGTTTAAGCTGAAACCTGGATATGAGAAGGAGGGCAGTATAAAGATCATGAAGATTTAGAGAATAAGCATTGGAAGAAGAAAAAGGAAAGAACAATCAGCAAATGCAAAAGACCTGGGATGCAAATGTACCCAGCATAAGCGAAGGGCGAAGAAAGACCAAGGCATATGGAGCATAGCAAGTGAGGACACGGCTTGAGGGGACAAAATGAAAGAGGTAGGCCAGGGCCTCATTTCAGTCACTTGACTTCAACATTGGAGTGTGTGTTTAATGCGGGGAGCATCAGTGGTGATATGGCTTGGCTGTATCCCCACCCAAATCTCAACTTGTAGTTCCCATAATCCCCAGTGTCATGGAAGGGACAAGGTGGAAATAATTGAATCATAGGGCGATTTCCTCCATCCTTTTCTCCTGGTAGTAAGTTTCATAAGGGGCTTCCCCCTTGGCTGGGCACTCATTTCTCTCTCCTGCCACCATGTGATGAAGGACGTGTTTGTTTTCCTTTCCGCCATGATTGTTAAGTATCCTGAGGCCTCTCTAGACCTGTGGAACTGTGAGTCAATTAAATGTCTTTCCTTCATAAATTATCCAGTCTCGGTCAGTTCTTTATAGCAGTGTAAGAATGGACTAATACAAATGGGATTTCAGAAATTCAGAGTTGTGGTCTGATTCTCACTTATAACTGGTATCATGGTCAGGAGGACCAAGGGTGAGTCCAGACAGAAACCTGTTAGAAGCTGATATAGTAATCCAGGTGAAAGATTGTGGTGACTCTGAGCAGTGTGGTGAGCAGTAGGGCTTTCACTTATCAACATCTATTCTTTTGTGTATCCTTTCTTCCTGTCTTTCTCTGTGCTCTTCCCCTTTTCTCTTTGTCTCCCTCTCTCTCTCTTCGAGCACATAAATTTTGTGCTCCTGGCTACAAAGAAGTCTCTCCAAAATTCATATTATTCTAGATAAAGCTTTAGAGATAATTGTAGTAGTGACACTGATTAGTAGCAGTACTAACTGTGGCAGACGGTTTGAAAATAGAGACTTATTTCATCCCACTTATATGGCTTTGGGGTGTATTTAGTTTCAAGGGGGAGGTGCCATCTTTGCTATATTCATTTACAATCCATCATATGTGCTGCAATGGGAAGGGGCATCCACATTTGTTGTGTTTTCAATGGCTTGTCAAAAAGAGCTGACCTAACAGACATTCAGAGTATTTGGAGAAATACTTGTTATACTCTAAAGTGTTTTCAAATAACGGTTTTCAGACTCAGGGCAGAATTGGAAATGTACTGAAATGTTTAGAAATCTCTCTCCACTATAGGGATTTTGCTATTTGTGTCTCGTAGGAAATAGCTTTCCATAGGCATAAATTTGACAGTAATTATGTCAAAGACAACTAAAAATCTGATTTGCTAACATCCATGAAGGAAGAAGTTCAGGTTACTAAATTAGAAATGTCTACTTTGGATCTGAAAATAATTTCTTATATCCCATAGGAGAAAAGATGTGACTGACCCAGTCTCTGCAAATAGTTAAAGGAAGAGGTATGATTTCACTCCTAATTGGCTTTCTAAGTCAAACACTTTGTTAACACTTGGTATGCATGACATTTTGGAGAGTATAACACCTTGTCAGTTCATATTTGACCCACTTATGTGGGGCCAGTGTGCCAATAAGGGCAAAGCTAAGTCAGGCTGGTACCCATCATAGCACTGCTGTTTATAATGCCAGCAACTTTGAGTTTGGCTTGTTTTGTTAATTTCTCATTGAACTGCATTTCTCCTGTAGAATAGAAAGCATCACTATATGGATTAAGTTACTAGATAGTAGAAATAACTATGCTTATTGGCATAGTAGTATTAACATAGAAGACAGAAAATGAAAATAAAATATCCATGTGAGAAACATAAAAAGTACTACAGTCCTGCAAATATCAGGTGAATATACTGCTTTGTGGTCTACTAGATAAACTAGAAATGAATAGAAAATACTTGTGAGAATTTTAATCCCCAATTCCTATTTATTAATTTTGAGTATGTATAGCATCTGAACATTAGAGGCATTGTGTCTTAATTGCTAAACCAGCTATGATTATGCTTTCTATAGTAGAAAATGTTGATGTTCAACTCAGTAGAAACCATTGGATAATTAAGTTCAGTTCATGTCTGCTATAATGGCATTCTGTATGCTTTAGCATTTGTCACTTTCAAAAGTATCCCAGTTTTGATGACAAACAGCATGGGCACCATAGCATTTAGGACCCTCTTGCTAATTTTGTTCAGGCATCCACCATATCCCCCAGTCAGACCAAATGACTCAAAGGAAGGTGACTATCTCCATCTGCCGGAGTGGGTCCTGATATGTCTAATCCAGAGATTGACTTAGAAACTCATGTTATGCTTTATCTAATCAGCAGTAGGCATTCTCCCAGGGACACTTTAAACTCTTGATCTTTATGGTGTACACATGACCTAAGTTATCTGACTCAAAATAAAAGGAAATTTTTCATAGCTGGGGAAGAGGGAAAGTTGTCTCTCCTTTAGAAATAAACAGAAGGATATGGTCTTTATGTTTGAAGGCAATTATTTTGCACCCATGAGGGTAGGTAACTTAAAGATGAAGCTGAATCAGACAGGCGAATTAAGGAAATCGCTGGAGTCCTACTCATAGCCCACTGGAAGACAATCTACCTTCATACATCCTATTCTTTAAGATAATGAATTCCTTTATTGTTTATGCCAGTTTGAGGCAGTATTTTTAAAAAATAAAATATCCTCATAAATACACTCTTATGAGGTTTTTCTAAAAATAAGATTTTTCAAATAAAATGTTTTACACAGTGTTTGAAATAGTAAACACAGTAATTTATTTTTAACATATCTGGGAGAATGCTGTTACAGTAAATCTAAGTGCAAATACTCAAATTTATAGAATTTTGGACCTTAGATATGCAAAATTCTTTTATAAACTCAAATAAGAGCACTTTCTAGAGAGATGAGATATTTTCTCATATCAGCAACCAAAATCTAGACAAATTAGGTTAGAAGCTAGTAAGTACTTAGGTATTCTTTCTCTGGATATAACAACTTCTCTTCAGCCACATCACTGTTTCTTACTTGAGTGGACACAACTTGTGGTTAAACACCAGCCTGACTCAATGAACTATCATGGACATCTGCGTGAGTATATAAATGTGTACATGTTTCTGGACATCCAGTGTGTAGTCATTCTGCTTCTAGTAATAACATTCAAAAATTGGGAGGAGAGAATCTACTCCTTTCCTTTGTTAACCTATGTGGTTTGAAGAGGGTTCTACCCACTCTTCTAAGGCAAAGCATGTGTTCAAAGTCAAGTTGGAATCAGGGCATCATTTTCTCCCTGGCCAGGAATAAATATTTACCATAGCAGTGTACCTGAGCAGCATGTTAGTTGCTCACTGCATGCAGAGTCCAATTAACAAGATCAAGGTCTGGTGTAAAGAGGTTTATTCTGAAGCTAGCTTAGAGGAAGAGGCCCAAGCATCCTGTCTTTAAATGTAGTGCTTCACTTTTGGAGCAGGAAGCAGGTACTTTTATAAGGCAGGGAAGGAAGCAAGAAAAGGTGGTGGGTCAGCATGCTAGCTTGGTACCAGGGAGTTGAGTTGGCACCTCCATGGGCAGAAATAAGTTGTAAAAGTAGTCAAGTGGGCATGCTTTTGACATGGCTTCCTGGCGATGAGAGTTCCAAGGTTACTCCCTGGAGGGTGAGAGTTCCGAGGTGGGCATCCTTTGGTCTGTAACTTGACCATTAACTCTCAAGGAGAGTTCCATCTTAGAGCACATGGTTAAATATAGTTGCCCTGTAGGGATTGCCTGGTGAAGGGGAGGTAAAGGGTTATATTTGCATTTCTAAAATGCTGAGTAGGAGGCAGGGAACAGGGGAAAGGAGAAAATAGAAAATTTTAAAAAATAATAATAGTAACTCAGCCAGATGCTATGGTGCACACCTATAATCCCAGCAGTTTGGGAGGCTGAGGCAGGCAGATTGCTTGAGCCAAGGAGTTCAAGACCAGCCTGGCCAACATAGTGAGACCCTGTCTCCACTAAGAGAAAAACACAAAAATTAGCCCAGACATGTTGGTATATGCTTGTAGTCCCAGCTGCTCACAAGGCTGAGGTGGGAGGATCATTTGAGCCTGGGAGGCAGAGGCAGCAGTGAGCCAAGATTGCACCACCGCACCACTGCACTCCAGCCTGGGTAACAGAGCAAGACCCTGTCTCAAAAAAAAAAAAAAAAAAAAAAAAAGTAACCCATTCCCTTTTTCCTAGAAAGAATGGGGGTACTTGGTTACATTAAAACCAACCAACCAGAGTTAGAATCACAAGGCTTCTGCTAACACAACTAAATAATAGTGTGTTCTCATTCTGCACTTCAATTTTTGAGAGCTTTTGTGGTTAGACCTGCTACTACTATGAGGAAGTTCATGTTTCATATCACTTATGTAGCTGTCTCAGTCAAGAACTTCTACAGCTGTTTTCCTCGTCTCCACTTCGCTACAAACCCATTTTTCAAAGCTTTGTAACCCTACAATGTAATTACTTCACAGAAAAAGTAAATTTTGTGTTGAGTGTCATATATACTAGTACCAGTCCTGGGATATATCAGTAAATAAGAGACACAGACCCCATCCTTGAGAAGCCCCGATGAAAACTTTGCAAAGCATGTTGCCCAGGTTGCAAGGCAATTTAAAATAGCTTGGCTCCTGAATATCTTCATTTCAAAAATTTCAAGTACTAGTCATTGTATCAATAGTCCCTTCTGTAATGCACTCAAAGAGAGCTACATGCCTATTTTCTTTACTATAAAAAAATTATAAATTTGATAATCAAATTATCAAACCATCTTAGAAGCCAGTATTAAATTCTTTTCCACACAGCACAACTAGTACAGAGGTAAACAGGAGTTTTTAGATTTCTGAATCTGATACAAATCATGCTAGCCAGCTTCAAGCAACTGGGGAATGTATTATCATCAGGAGGGAGGAGGCCTCCAGGCATTTTCTCAGTGTCAGTACCCAAGAAGACCTAAATCTAGAAGGAAGCCAGCAGACTTTGAACTTTAAAGATATCAGCAATTTATCCAAAGATAGAATTGCTGAATTACCATATCTTTTGAGACTCTGGTAAAAAAATAAAATAATAAAATAAAATAGCAAGAAAAGAAAAAAGAAAAAGCAACCCAAATTCAAGCCTCTCTGTCACTCATTTAATTTTCCATTTATAAGAGAAGAATCAGAGTGCCATTAGCAGAAGAGAAAGTCTGAATTAGTTCTGTGAAATCATAACAGGATGCCTAACAACCCTAGAGGGAGATGGTAATAATATGTTAAGAGGTAGGCCAAGAAGCTTTGCCCACCATGCTCAACCCCTTAGAAATGTTAATTTTCACAAGAAGAATGGCAGGATTGTTTTATTTTTAGGAAGAGGGTGATGGGTAGTCTATTTTGATTTTAAGTATATAAAGTAGGGTGTCATGTGTCCCTGAACTCTCAATGGAAATGAGCTCTTGATTGGACTGTGACTGCCTTGCCTACAGTAGGAAAAATTGCTGAAAGATGAGAAAATGGCATGAATTAATGCTGGAAATTTTGCCAGAGGGGAGGCAGAGAGAAAGAGATTATCTGATTATACATTCAGGGATGACAGGTGAACCTCCAAAAGTTCAGAGGTTTAGTTCAGATATCCATCTCAACATTTAGCTGCTCATTTGAAGCTTTGCCAAGCACAAGGGAATATAATCTGTTTCAGAAACTGTTGACAACTCTCAACATCAGTGGGGCTCACCATAAGGCCTCTTGTTCCTGCAGTTTTCCTCACTCTATCGCTTAATAAAGTTACCAAAATTGTGTATGTTAGTTATAATTTCCATTTACTGCATATTTTGCTATTGCTGCTACCCTTGCAGGTTCTAAAATATAATTGAATTTTCCTACTTAAAGAATATTACTCTTCTTAAAACTTATCATCAGCCCAAAATCCATCAAATCATAAAAGAAAGCAAAGGTAAAAGTTAAAATATCAATATCCTAATTTTGTTATTTAATTTTGTAGAAGTTTTCTATTGACTTTACTTGGTCAATTAGTAAATAATTCATTCTGTTTTAACTAGTTCGACTCTTGTGACTAATTATAGATTAAGAATAAATACACTTTTGTTGTTGTTAACCATACACATTTTAACAGCACAGGCTACATAATTTTTACCACTGCCCAGTATTCAGTTATAGTCACTATCTAATTTATTTGTCATAAGGTTTATGAGATTAAAAAAACAACAAAGCAACATAAAACTCATACGAACACTCTACACACAAAAAAATCCGACAAAAACAGGCCTAATTTTGTCTGCTGCCAAAGCAAATAATCTCCATATGCTTGCTATACAAAGTGTGGTCTGCAGACCAGCAGCATCAACATCACATGGAAGCCTGTTAGAAATACCAGACTCAGAGTTCATCTCAAATTTACGCTACAAGAGTCTGTATTTTAGCAAGTTCCCAGGTGATTCCTGTGTATATAACATTTTGGGAAGAAATTATATACTACGTTGTCATTTTTCCTTGATAATAAAATTTTATTGACACATCTCAGTTTTTGAGTAAAAGCCTTTTCTAATTCAAAGTTAATATATCTTATTTTTCTCATTACAAGAATATATGTCCATTTAAAAATAAAAGTAAAGCATCATGAATTTATAAAGAAAAAAGTAAAATATCTCATAATTTTATTCCCTAAAAATGATCCCTATTAACAGTATAAAAAGTAATCAAAGGAATAACTACTTTGTAAAGCAAAAAGGATCTGAGAAAAGTCTCAATTTAAAAAGTGTATTTTGCCAAAGTTAAGATGCACCTGTGACAGAGCCTCAGGAGGTCATGACAACACGTGCCCAAGGTGGTCAGGGTACAGCCTGCTTTTATACATTTTAGGGAGATATAATACATCATTCAGTACATGTAAGATTTACATTGGTTCCATCTGGAAGGGCAAGACAACTCAAAGTGGGAAGGCAGGGATGGGTGCTTCCAGGTCATAGGTAGACTTAAAAATGTTCTGATTGGCAATTCGTGGAAAAAGTTATCAGTAGAAAAGAATGTCTGGGATACTGTAAGAGGTTGTGGAGACCAGGGTTTTATCCTGTAGGTAAAGCCTCCAAGTATCAGGCTTCAGAGAGAAAAGACTGTAAATGCTCCTTTTGAGACTTAAGGTCTATGTTGATGTTAATGCTGGAGGGGTATATTGAGGCATGTCCAATCCCCTCTTCCATGGCAGCCTAAACTAGATTTTCAGGTTAACTCTAGAATGCCCTTGGCCGAGAGGATGGTTCCATTCAGATGATTGGAGGGCCTTAGAATTTTATTGTTTACAGTTTTCACCTTTAAAATTAAACAAAACAACTCAATCATTTACTTAATATATCCATCTTAGGAAATAATTACCTCATTCATAACAATTAGGTTATGGTTTAACTTTTAAAAACAATTCTAAGAATATCTGGGCATTATCTTCAGTAAGATTTCAATAAAGAAGACTTTGAAAGCTCAGAGGCAAGGGAAAATATGTAATCCATTGAGTTTGTTCTCGAGCAGTTTGCATACATACCTTCCTTTCACCGTGCTGCTCTTTACTTCTCCTACTCTTCTAATAAATTAACTCTGCTTGCTTCCCCCTTACACAAATTATTTGATATTTAATACAGGCAGAAGCCATGAAGTGAAAAGCCTGATAAAATTGATACATGAAGATTTAACATAGCAAAAGCAAATATCAAATGACAAAAAACAATGTTTATGAGAAAAAAAGCTGTTTATATATGAACACAAAGAAACACCAATGAATATTCCAATAGACAAAATATATGAACATTTTTAAAATTATAAATGGCCAGTAAGCATATAAAAATCACATTTTACCTTAAAAGAATAAGACAAATGAAGTGCCATTTTTTCCATGTGTTAGTTGGAAAAGGTATAGAGACAAAATGGAAAGAATCTAAGGAACTATAGCTTTCATATACTTAGTTATAAATTGGTACATTTCCGAAGTATAATTGGATGACATGCATTAAACTTGTTATAAGAGGCACACATATTTACTCATAAATTCCTTTTCTCAACGTTTTAAGAAAATGATTATAGTGTGTGAAATTTTTTTTTTTTTTTTTTTTGAGATGGAGATCTCACTGCAACGCCCAGGCTAGAGTGCAATGGCGTGTTCTCAGCTCACTGCAACCTCTGCCTCCCAGGTTCAGGCGATTCTCCTGCCTCAGCCTCTCAAGTAGCTGGGACTACAGGTGCACACCACCATGCCTGGCTGATTTTTGTTTAGTAGGGACGGGGTTTCACCATATTGGCCAGGCCGGTCTTGAACTCCTGACCTCAAGTGACCCACCTGCCTTGGCCTCTCAAAGTGCTGGGATTACAGGCATGGGCCAAGTGTGTGAAAATTGTATAAAGATGTTTATTAAAACAGCTTTTAAAATATAAAATTGTGAATAAAAGATCATAATATCAGTAGAGGAAAAAGGGATCACTTTATTGTCTATTACCAAAAAAAACCAATATGCAGATTGAAGAGGCATAGCCTTTAGTACAACTGAAAGCGTGCTGCTCTACAAAGAACAAAAAAAAGTTAGAGATTTTATTAAAAGGATAACTGTTATGTACTGCTCTTTGAGAAATTTCATTGGCACTAGTAAGATTTTGAAGATCTGGCCAGCTCTAAATGGTAAGTGACTGTGGTGGGCAGAACTAGTCTGAGAGTGGTAGCAGGTCTTTAAAGTAATCATTAGAGAAAACTGGTCTCAGGTTACTGCAGGCAGTTTTAGTTGCCAGGCTTGTTCTGACTGCTTTCTCCCCCTGGCTTCTCAACTCTGTTTTAGTTGAGTGTGACAAGAACAATCCAATTCATATGACCAACTTCCACAAATTAAAAGATAAACTAAATGTCCAACAATTTAAGGTTTATGCAGATTATAATAGAGTCATACAATAGAATGTTGAGACATTATTAAAATTATACTTTAAGATATTTTATAATTCTCATAAAATGGAAGAAAATGATAGTTTGAGTGAAAATGTATATGATCATTTTGTACCAATTTCTATTTTGCAATTTTGAAATTAGACAATTTTGTAGCTAGTAAGTTTTTCCAACCGTTTTTTCCCCACATGAATAAAAATGATTTCACTCAGAATGAAGTATCTACTAGGGATACTTTTTATTCATTCCACGCTATCAAGATAACAGTGTAAGTATAGTGTTTTAAAAATATTAGAAGGGAGAGGACAAGCAAATCCCCAACATCCACTTCATCATGATGTTGGTGATTTGTTTATTCACATTCGAGTAAACATTTTTGAGGTCAGGGTCTGGTATTAAGTCAGCTGTTACCATTTCTTTGAAAGCCTAGGAAAACTGGCAAACTCATAGCCAAAACCTCACAATCTGCTAAATATTATGCTATTCCAGGGAAGGCTCTGCCTGTCCCTTAACCTATTATTAGTCCTTTCACTTCGCTCATATGCACAGGAAATCACCAACAACATTGAGTAAACAAATACAGTTTTTGTCTGCAATAATCTATCCATCCATCCATCTATCCAGTGTAACTGATGGCTTTAACTTTTTGGTCCATCATTCATTACTTCGTTGTCTCCAAGCTAGGTCACAAAGCTGAGAAATGAGAGATAAATGTGTACATAGTCTTAATTGGGATCCCAGACATACCAATGCAATATGGAAAGCATTGTCCATCTTACCTCACACAAGCAGACATTGGGGTTTATTGGGGAGGAGAGTTCTTTAATGGGAATTCGTGAGAGTAATTTTTCACCAACTCAACTTCCAAGACAGTCTGTGATGAGGAGGAGACTGGGGATGGAGAGGTGGGTGCAAGAGAATCTCTTGAAGAATGAAGAAGGGAAGTGGCATTTCACAGCTACACTTAATGCTTGCTGAGCTGCAAGAATTTTTAGTCCTCTACTCCGCTGTTAACAGAAAGATATGTAATGTAGAAGAGTTCTTGAGAGAACTTGATATGTGTTAAGTGGTGAACTGAGACAGCCAGCCAAAAAAAAAGCTTGAGGAAAGAGGGCAGTGAAGGGAGAAGGCTATGTATCATTTGGCTGGACAAGGGTGGGGGAGAGCCAATAGGCTACAAAGGTGAACAGTTGTGAATTACCTGAAAGACCTTGCAAAAGAGGCCCTCTTGCCTGCCTGGGTTAGGGGACCTGGGCAGAAAGAAGCATCAGCTATCTGGTAAGTCCTGGCAAGTAACCAGACTGGGTATCCTGCAACAGGGAGCTAACTGAACAATGAGAGCCTTCTCCCTGACCCTCAAGGTCACGAAGAACACTCTAGAGCACTTTCCACCACATAAGATGTTTTGTAGTCGAGAATCACTACAAAATCTCACCAGCTAAGTAAACAAGCCTGTAACTTTTCCCTCCCTAGTCTCTCCTCTCCTTTTCCTGACCACAAAGAAAAGGACAGAAGAGATGGAGAGTGAAATATAGACCAATTACCCGCTTCTATACTGTTGCCCATTGAGCTATTCCTTATTTCAGATCTGAAGGGCAGGAAGAAATATGTGTGTGTGTGTGTGTGTGTGTGTGTTTTTAGACAGTCTCACCCAGGCTGGAGTGCAGTGGTGTGATCACCACTCACTGTAGCCTCCACCTCTTGGGTTCAAATGATTCTCATGCCTCAGCCTCTCAAGTAGCTGGGATTACAGGCATGCACCACCATGCCTGGCTAATTTTTGTACTTTTAGTAGAGACAGGGTTTCACCATGTTGCCCAGGGTGATCTCAAACTCCTGACATCAAGTGATCTGCCTGCCTTGGTTTCTCAAAGTTCTGGGATGATAGGCGTGAACCACTGTGCCCAGCCAAGGGGGATAAATCTTTGACTGTGAGATTAAAGTTTTTACTTAGGTTAGGTTAAATTTATGAACACCCTGAAAATGAAACTGTTTTAAGACTCTAAGATGTTAAAATCACTACAAGTCTATCGGATCAGCTGGAATTTTGCCTATAGCAAGAAAAGGAGATCTAATACATCATGTTTGAAGACACTTGTAAGAGAACAACAAACTGCTGTTTCTTGATTACACCCTAATGAGTTCAGCTGACTCGAAAAACTGCCTTATACATACATTAAAATGTGGGGTCATTCACTTGCAAATATGCTTTATATAAATTACTTTGTTTTTAAAGTAAAGTATGCCGAATACCCCCATATATATCACATACAACAGAATGCAAAATAAGGTATTTCCTGTCAAATATAACTTTCAGGAACTTCAAACACATTAATCTATCAACAAATAGGTATTGCACATTTATTTATTCATTCAAATATATATTGAGTACTGCAAATAAGCACTAGAACTATAAATATAGGCCTGGAAGTCTTATATATTATGTTTCATCTAAACCTTAATATAAAAAAAAAACATGTTCATGCATTTTCCATTTGTTAAACATTGTATTTGGGATTTAGAAAGGTAAAGATTAAAATGCTTTTGCCAACCTCACCATTAGAGTAAGACCAGAAACTGGACTTAACTATAAAAAAGGATTCACTAAGAGAAATACAAATAAAATGCCATGGATTGCAAAAGAAAAATCATATGATAACAGAAGGCATTTCAGGCACAGGAAATTAAGATGTTAGATTATGATCACAATAATGAACTGGGAATCAGTGTTTAACAATCGTATTCCCAGACTTACTCTGCCTTATGTCTCCTACGCTCTAACAAGAATGGTAGCTCCACACCTAAGGTCTTTCTGAGGGCTCTGCAGTGCCCTGCAGTATCATTACATCTTCACAACTATGCCCACGTTAGGACATACTGTCCCCTTAATAGGAGGAGGAAATTAAGACTTGTCCCTTTTTCTCGTTTCTCCACTCAGCGGCTTTGATCACACATTCTCTCTACTCCCACTCCCTTCAATCTGGGGCATCCCTCTTTCCACATCAGGTTCAAGTGTCATTGTAGTGGGAAAGATAGAGGATCTAAAGTTAGAAGTCTGAGATTTGTGTCCTGGGTCTACTACTTACTTATCATGTTAGTGATTCATTTAACATCTGAGCTTCATTTTACTTTTCATAGGAACTTCTCTAACACTTGTGAATAGATTGTAAAGTATCATTTTGGAAAATACTCTGCAGGCTAGAATGTGCAAGTGATACAGGTGTAAACATTCTAAAACAATAAGAATTAAATTGGTCACTTCTCTATTTTTCCAACACCACATTGCATCAATGTATGTTTTAGCACTGTCACTACTGTTTTATAGTTTTAATCTTTTTCTACCCCACTCGATAATGGATTCATAAAGAGGAAGGATTGTTCTTATTCATCTTTGTAGCCTAGTCTATAGCATGGCCCGTAGTAGATGCAAGGGAGTTAGTCAAAGAGAAAGTTAGTGGTGAGAGGGAAAAAGCTAAGATTATTTCAACCAAAGCATATACCACAGTATATTAATCAAAGGTACAAACATAAACATGAATATAAAATTTAACAATAATTTACAAGCAGTAGCAATGTAGAATAACGATGTACCTGTTTACAGGGATGTTTAAAAAGCTTAGGAAAAATGGGTAAGCATTTAGCCAATATAATATATGGTATCATTTGATCTTTTAAATAAATGAAATTAAAGCTCTATCTAAAAAAAAAAAAAGCATTCTCACGCTTTTCCCCATATATCAGGAGACTAGATTTCTAATAGGGTACTGAATGACCTTAGCAGTTTAATTAACTCTTCTATGAGGCTCTCCTTATCTAAAGTGGTGGTAAAATCCCCCTTCGATCTATGTCATAGGATGAAGATGAAGTTATGCGTAGGAAAAGCTTGTAGTTTTTTTTTTTTTCAGACAGGTCTTTTAGTTTTTGGTTCCATGTCCTTTCCACATCTATGACGGTTGAGTTATTGTTCTAATTTGTGTTTCCTTGAGGGCACTGTCCCATGGATAATCCTGACAGAGGAAATTTGTTTTCTGCATGGGTTTTTCTTGGTTTTGGTGAAGCTGCTGACCTGGGTGCCTGTCCCATGCTGCTGGGCATCTGTCTCAGTGTAGGAAGACCTGTGCTTCCCTTGGGGATGAATTTTGCTGGCAGACTTTTCAGTGAAGAATAGCTGTCCTCACTGAAATGTCTTCTCCAACTACTGCTGCTCCCATTCCCTCTCTCATTGCCAGGGAAGCTGTCACTGGCTGTGTCTAGTGTGGGAACTACTCCCAGTGGTTCCCCTATACTAATTACCCCAGACAAGACCTACTCACCTCATTATGGACAGGTTTACCCTCTTGCTACCTTACTCCCAGCCCCTCTATCAAGTCTGCTCCTCCAGGTTGACTGAGGCCTCAGTCCTTACCTTTTCTGTCATCCTGGGCTGAAGAATAGTGGAAACTCCCTATAAGAGGCTGCTGCCTGAGCCTGCTTGTCTTCTGCTTATTTCAGCTGCTTGTTAATACTGCCTTAGAGTCCTGTTTAATCATATATAGCCAAAGGAACTTCAAATGGCTCTTCTTCTGTTGGTCTTATTGACCTTATTCTTATCTTGTTCTGTAAATGTCTGCCTCTTGATCTTCCAAACTCAATGGTGTTCCTGTGGTCCAGAGTCATCCTCAGTATTCCCGGTGAGGACTGGCTATTCCACAAGGAAGGTGATGTATGATACTTCAGTCTGGGTATAGTTTTATATTTGTATTGAAACCAGTAGCTATCCCATAAAATTTCTGGAACTTTGATGGCTCTCTGAACTTGTTTCCCAGACAGATTCAAATGTCCTTTCATTTTACAGAATTGCTGAGGGGTATGTGGCAGAGTATCATTAGGGTGTCAAGCTTCCATCTCTTCCCCATAGATAAGTCTTGACATTTGAAAAGCTGAATACACTTGCTGGCACTTCATATTTTTTTTCAGTATGTTGGGAAAGATTGCCTTTAATAGCATCTACTACCTTTGCACACTAACTACATCATAATGGCTGTCCAATGGTTTTAGGACTCCTTGTTGCTTCACATGTCCGTTAATAAGTAAATTGAACCTTAACTTGTGTTTTCAACACTGAAAACTCCTGTGGAACCTCCCATCCTCAGACTTACAATAAATATCATCAACTTCTTTTATGCAGTTTGTTCTCTTGCACAGTAGCCTGACTAAGCCCTTCAAGTCTGTGTCAAATGTACTTTCTTTCAATTTTTTGTTACTTCAAAAAATAGCTCAGAAAGGATTTCTTTTCTTTTAAGTTGTTGTTACAAATAAAAAGTAAGCTTAAAGAATATCTTTGGAGGAATTGCTGTATGCTTAACAATAGAAGCTATCATCGGTTATACTGAGTCTCTGTACATTGATGAAAGATATTTTAACCATGGAAGGGACTTTTTTTAGGTAGAAAAAGCCTTTTCTAATTTCTCTTGGCCTTGTCTCCTGGGAGTGCTTTTAGAAAAATTAATGAGATATGGTCTAGAAATCACTTGTGCTCCTTAGGGAGGTGCTATGCAAATTTAAGATAACAGCAGAAGGAGCCATCACATTAAGAGTCAGGTAATTATTTGAAAGACTGGGAAACTTAATTTTAACCCATATTGATTAAAGTATTTGTTGAAAGTTTGAAATGATTGATGTCCAGTTCCAAATGAGAATCATCACTGTTGTCAATACCCTTGGAAAGCATCATCAAACAGTATTCCTTCTGCTGTGTTAAGCATCTTATAAACCTGATCATAGTCATTTCCCCACAGGAGAAAATATAAAATAGTTTGCTTTAGGTAGTTTTGAAGCATTTCCAGGGAGAGCTTTTATTTTTCTTTACAATTCACAAAGGTGTTTTACTACAGTGCACAGTCCACAGCCCACTTAACTAGCTTTTCAGTGTCATAAACCTAAGGTTACCTTGGATTAATTTTCCTCTGTGTCCACCTGATCTGCCAGCATTTTTTTTTTCTGTCCTTAAAACTGACAGCAAGATGATTGATTACAGGCAACTGCAAGGCCACTTTTTGAATGCATGACGTTTTCTGGAATCAAGTTAGAAATTCAGAGGATGTAAAGAAATCACTGTAAATTAATAAAGGAAAAGAGTCTAATACCCACTGACCAGTTGAGCAAATCATCATGTTCACTTGCTCCTAGAAATCACTTGCAATAGATATTCTTTCAATTACAGAGAAAATTAACTACCTCACAAGAACCAAATTAAGAAGTCCAGTGCAATGAGCTGGGAAGGTCTTTATGAATGATGGGGCCACCTGATGAGTGACAATTTCACATTTAATTACAATGGTGTATAATTTATAACTCTCCCTTCTTTCAAATTATGCCACATTGGTAGAATTTCCAGCTGAGGAAACTCTATGCTGTGAGGAATCGTATGCTCTATGAGGAATCATATGCTGTGAGAAGGCTCTGCACAGGACCATTTGATCACATCTATGTGATACAGACAAAGGCATCATAACAAATAGTACTGATTTTTCATTTTGCTCCAAGAAGACAACATATGTCTTTAGCATAATTTCTCACACAGAGCTCCAAGCCTATGTATTGATTACATGACCTTCTTCTGGACAGCCTTTGTGTCTGGCAAGTAAGATAGAGGGAACTTAATAGAGAGTATTACTTACTTTGTCCTCCACTTACCCACTGGACAATAAGGTATTTTTAAGTCAAATAATGATCACTGGGACACATGCTGAATCTTGGTGAGGTAGGGAAGCCAGGAAACAATGCAGGAGAAGAGATAATAGCTATTAGCTTTAAAGGGTATGACCTGTGATATTAGATAGGATCTGTGGGATTCCCAATGGGAGAGACAATGTGGTGATAGGCACATGTCCATGTTGCACTCTAGACTGTTCTCACTACAGTGTGGAACTTAGAAAATCAAATTTAGCTTATCATCTAGAAAAGTTTGAATACTTCTTTCATGTATTTTTAAACTGTCCTTTAACAAATAGCAATACTGTAAAAAAAAAGTGTAGATACTTGTTGAAATCATCATAACCTCGCTACCTCCATTCATCATACTACATTATGATCTTACCATCCTCAACACCATCAGAATTTTTATTTTTAATTCCTAAAGCAGAGAATCTCCCAACTTATAGTTTTAAATATTGAAGGAAGATAGTTTTAAATATTGAACATGCATTTCTGTTTTAAAATATAACATTTAATAGGCTATAATTCAATAAATACACTTTAATATGATTTTTAAGTGTTTTAAGGAAAAGGCTAGCACAATATTTAAGGATGAGACAGACACATTAAAAGTCAGGACAAATATAAATATGTCCAGTATCAGCATAATTATTTAATATTTTAAGAAACTACTGAAACTATGAAACATCGCAATTAGAAAAGAAAAAGAAATATACAAAACGTAATAGAAGGATTCACAGGTCTTTCTCAGAAGGGAGAATAATTTTTCACAGATTATATAATTGCAAAGATTTTCCATTACAACAGAACCATCCTTCAAGGGGTCCCAGTCTTGCCCTGCCTGTTCTGAGAGGTTTCATAGTATCTACGCTAGAAAGGTCAAGTGTTAATAAGTGGCTGGTTAGACATAGTCTTGGAACATTAAAGAGTTGGCTGTAAATCATACACTCAGTTGGGTTAATGGACTGAGAATTCTTCCCTGTGTTGCAGGACTTTTGCTTAGTCCGGCTAAAGATGGGTCTTTGTCTCTCCCAGAGACATGAAAATTCAGGTTTGCAGATGGTTTGAAGGGTGAGTAAAGCAGGATTTTATTGGGTGAAAAAGAAAAAAGGGAGAACAGGGACTCTCTGCGAGGCCAAGAGTTCCTGCCCATGAGCTTCCTGCCTGGCCGATTGAATCCCAGGGTCCACACAGCAAGGGGAGGGGTAAGGCTCCTCCCCTCTGCAAACAGTGAGAACCTCTGTGGCTCCACCCTAGTGCCCAAGCCAGTTGGAGTTTTGCCAGGGAGTCCCTCCCACCTGGTTGTCTTCACCTGGAGGGAAGCAAGGTGGATTTCTGGGTAAGGTGTCACTGTGTCAGCTTTCACCCAACTCCTTGGCACTCACCACTAAACATCTTTTCTCTAATCCATGTTGGGCACCATATGCTCCATCTGTCTCACCTTTCTTGCCACACTTGTCTTCTTTGTTCCCCAAACTGAGCATTCTCTTTCTTGCCCAGAGCCTTTACACATACTGCCTGGTAACTTATCACTCCGTCCACCCTTGCTTTAGTCAAAATTTGTCTCATTAAACTTGAAACCCTGATACCACTTCTTCAGATAATACTTCCTTAATCCCTGAGATACCTGTTAAAATATTCATAGTGTTATGCTGTCCTCCTTCACAATTATTTAAGTTGTAATCCAATTATTATGAAATCAGTTGTACAGCATCTGTCTACCCTCCTACTTTCTCCATTATGGGTTCAAGATTAAATTGGTCACCATTGAAAATCCAGACCTTGACCATTATCTGTATTACCAGAGGCATATTTGGTGAATGAATGATTTCTACTTCTAGAGACCTCATATTTTTAGAAAGCTATCCTCTCCCACAGAAAACACACACACACTTGTAGTATATGTATACATATGTGTGTGTTCTATATCTCGGGCTCTAGACTATTCTCGCTGTAGTGCAGAACTTAGGAAATCAAATTTAGCTCATCCTCTGGAAGAGTTATAATACATCTTCCATGTATTTTTAAACTGCCTTTTAATAAATAGCAACAATATTCATGTATATATATATATCACATATCATGGGTATATTGAATACATGATATATGTGATATATTAGAATATATATATGATATGTAGATTACAAACATTGTTCTTTCATCTCTTTCTTTTCACTCTAAGAGTAACCCTTTGGGTTATTCAAAGTCTGCTTTTTCTTTCATAAAAACAACTGTCTAACTTCCCAAAGACAATTCTCATGCCCTCTATTTTCTTTTCTTACTGAACATCATGCACTCATTCACTGGAAAAGCATTTATTGACTATCTCATTGGACTGGATATAAAAGACCAGAGCTTTTCCTCACTCCTCATGTGACACTAGATTTTCCAGGCTTTTTATCTCAATGCCAGTATGGAGAAAACTTCAGAACACTGTGTTTCTATTTATTTCCCTCCAGGCCATTTTCCACCACCCCCGGTTCTTTTCTTTAGTCTGTACTTTATCTAGTTTCTGCAATGTAAGAAATGCTCTGGGATGTATCTCTTGATCTTTCTGTTTCAGTATTCCCAAAATTAGATTGTTTCCCCAGTAGATATCTGATGTTTATGAGTGGGTAGATGGTGGTAACAGTAAAGAGGTTCACTGGGTTCAGTTGCAAGAATTGTGTAAGTTATAGATGTAGGATAGAGTATAGAACAAACATTTCATACTTAGAAAGATTTTCACACAAGTTTTAAGCCCAAGGAAAAGTAAAAAACCAATAGAAGCTATAATACAATATAAAATTCAAGAAGGTGCCTTCTTTCACAATGAATACTCTGAAGGAACTATCTTTTCTGTGTAAAGAAAAGAGGCAAAAACTTGAAACAGAAATTATTCTGTATAAGATGTGAACAAAATAAATAGCTTGAAAAATCAGCAAGAAAGGATACACTTCTACTGCTTGTATAGTAAGGCTGGGAGATGAAACTTATGCATGTAGGGCTTTTTTTGTTGTTCTTGGGGCATCCTGGGGGACTCCTGATGAGAAACAAACAGGAAATACTTAACTCACGGTATGCCAACTTAACTATCACAGTGTAGTAGGATACATGCCTTAGTTCTAATTCTAACACGAATTACAGGACAAAATGAGGGAGCTTTGTCAAGGGCAAGTTTCTTGAAAATATCTCCATCAGCAGTGAGAGGTGAGTCTACCCAGTATGGGATTTTAACAGTGAAAGAACAACAAAGTCCAACTTTCTTAATAGCCTACTCATATTAATCAATTTCTGTATTTCTAAAAGTGATCTGGATACAACATGATGTCATTTGCTTTATTTTTCTCCATTGTCCTTTCAGTTTACATAGTCTTGTTTTTCCCTGTTCCAGAATAAAACTTTGGATGTGTCCCATAGCTTTTCCAATCTATTTTAGTTAGAAGGCCTCCCTCTGTTCAGTAAATAAATTACAATTTCACTAATGAAATTTTTCTCTCTCTTTATACTGCAACCACAATTCTGGAATCACCACAGACTAGAAATGAGAAATCACTACTGCTTGTATCGCCTGTCCCAACCGGATAGTTTACCACTTTCCTTTGTGATTTGAGTGCCCTCAGTTCCTGTTTTATTGTTTTAGTTTCTGAGTCCTGAGCATGAACTGACAGAAAGAACATCATGATACATCTTCATTTATGAAGATGTATGAGCAATTAAGAGAAACTTACTATCTGTTTGAGGGGAAAATCATGATTGGAGCAAATGGCTTCCATTGAAACACAATAAATGCAGAAGAATGTAAGATCTCAGCATTTTCAATGAAAGTTGATTACGGATAATGAAAGGATACATTAATAAAATAAAACACAGAGGAAAATAACTACTGAATATTAACCTGTCCCCAAAAAACCTCAAAATATGATTTCAAAAATGAAAAGAATTTCAAGAGAAACAGAATAGAAAAAATGGTCAGAGTTGAGCACAATATTTTAAATTAAATGAGGAAATTGGGTTCTTTTGAGAATCAAGTGGAAAATATAAAACATAAATAACATGATATACACGAGATCAAATACTTTTTAAAATAAAAGATACAAATAGGAAACAAATGATAGGAGGTTGTTTTTCCGTCATGAAAAAAACGAAGTAAGAAATTATACAACTTTACCATTCTGAACTTGGGTTCCCATATTCCAAAAACTTTCACCTTTCAAAAATTATTCTATTTGCATGTTCATTTACATATTATTTCACTCCACTGATTCATGTGCTAATTTATTTAACCAACATTTACTGGGAAATCATGCTTAAGAGCACTAGGCATACAAATTTTTTTTAAGATGCTGTTCTTGCTTTCAAGAGGTTCATGTTGGGAGGATACAATGCCATAATACATATGAATTTTTTTTTTTTTTTTTTTTTTTTTTTTTTTTGAGACGGAGTCTCGCTCTGTCGCCCAGGCCGGACTGCGGACTGCAGTGGCGCAATCTCGGCTCACTGCAAGCTCCACTTCCCGGGTTCACGCCATTCTCCTGCCTCAGCCTCCTGAGTAGCTGGGACTACAGGCGCCCGCCACCGCGCCCGGCTAATTTTTTGTATTTTTAGTAGAGACGGGGTTTCACCTTGTTAGCCAGGATGGTCTCGATCTCCTGACCTCATGATCCACCCGCCTCGGCCTCCCAAAGTGCTGGGATTACAGGCGTGAGCCACCGCGCCCGGCCACATATGAATGTTTGCAGCTCAGAGGCAGACACCTGGCAAAATAAATGACAATTGCCTTCCTTATTTCCTCATCATATCCCATACACTCTCTCCTTTATGATGAAAATAATCATAAGAACTAGTTTTGTGATGGGAACTAGCTTTTATGTGATACAAGTTTATCTGCAATGTATTAGTAACATTATCACACCTCATTTTGCAGTAAACCATTTTACTCCATTTTCCTTCAACATATGAACATATTTCTGCATGCAATAAATTTACACTGAAAGAAATATTTTTAATAAAAGAGGAAACCTATTTGTCCCCACTGATCATGCTATTTTAAAACATATTAAAAATAATTTAAATTGGGGGGAGGAGCCAAGATGGCCGAATAGGAACAGCTCCGATCTACAGCTCCCAGCGTGACCGACGCAGAAGACCAGTGATTTCTGCATTTCCATCTGAGGTACCGGGTTCATCTCACTAGGGAGTGCCAGATAGTGGGCGCAGGCCAGTGGGTGCGCGCACAGTGCACGAACCGAAGCAGGGCGAGGCATTGCCTCACCTGGGAAGCGCAAGGGGTCAGGGAGTTCCCTTTCCCAGTCAAAGAAAGGGGTGACGGACGCACCTGGAAAATCGGGTCACTCCCACCCGAATATTGCGCTTTTCAGACCGGCTTAAAAAACGGCGCACCACGAGATTATATCCCACACCTAGCTCTGAGGGTCCTACGCCCACAGAATCTCGCTGATTGCTAGCACAGCAGTCTGAGATCAAACTGCAAGGTGGCAGCGAGGCTGGGGGAGGGGCGCCCGCCATTGCCCAGGCTTGCTTAGGTAAACAAAGCAGCCTGGAAGCTCCAACTGGGTGGAGCCCACCACAGCTCAAGGAGGCCTGCCTGCCTCTGTAGGCTCCACCTCTGGGGGCAGGGCACAGACAAACAAAAAGACAGCAGTAACCTCTGCAGACTTAAATGTCCCTGTCTGACAGCTTTGAAGGGAGCAGTGGTTGTCCCAGCACGCAGCTGCAGATCTGAGAACCGGCAGACTGCCTCTTCAAGTGGGTCCCTGACCCCTGACCCCCTAGCAGCCTAACTGGGAGGCACGCCCCAGCAGGGGCACACTGACACCTCACACGGCAGGGTATTCCAACAGACCTGCAGCTGAGGGTCCTGTCTGTTAGAAGGAAAACTAACAAACAGAAAGGACATCCACACCAAAAACCCATCTGTACATCACCATCATCAAAGACCAAAAGTAGATAAAACCACAAAGATGGGGAAAAAACAGAACAGAAAAACTGGAAGCTCTAAAAATCAGAGCGCCTCTCCTCCTCCAAAGGAACGCAGCTCCTCACCAGCAACAGAACAAAGCTGGATGGAGAATGACTTTGACGAGCTGAGAGAAGAAGGCTTCAGAGGATCAAATTACTCTGAGCTATGGGAGGACACTCAAACCAAAGGCAAAGAAGTTGAAAACTTTGAAAAAAATTTAGAAGAAAGTATAACTAGAATAACCAATACAGAGAAGTGCTTAAAGGAGCTGATGGAGCTGAAAACCAAGGCTCGAGAACTACGTGAAGAATGCAGAAGCCTCAGGAGCTGAGGCAATCAACTGGAAGAAAGGGTGTCAGCAATGGAAGATGAAATGAATGAAATGAAGTGAGAAGGGAAGTTTAGAGAAAAAAGAATAAAAAGAAATGAGCAAAGCCTCCAAGAAATATGGGACTATGTGAAAAGACCAAATCTACGTCTGATTGGTGTACCTGAAAGTGATGGGGAGAATGGAACCAAGTTGGAAAACACTCTGCAGGATATTATCCAGGAGAACTTCCCCAATCTAGCAAGGCAGGCCAATGTTCAGATTCAGGAAATACAGAGAACGCCACAAAGATACTCCTCGAGAAGAGCAACTCCAAGACACATAATTGTCAGATTCACCAAAGTTGAAATGAAGGAAAAAATGTTAAGGGCAGCCAGAGAGAAAGGTCGGGTTACCCTCAAAGGGAAGCCCATCAGACTAACAGCGGATTTCTCGGCAGAAACCCTACAAGCCAGAAGAGAGTGGGGGCCAATATTCAACATTCTTAAAGAAAAGAATTTTCAACCCAGAATTTCATATCCAGCCAAGCTAAGCTTCATAAGTGAAGGAGAAATAAAATACTTTACAGACAAGCAAATGCTGAGAGATTTTGTCACCACCAGACCTGCCCTAAAAGAGCTCCTGAAGGAAGCGCTAAAGATGGAAAGGAACAACCAGTACCAGCCGCTGCAAAATCATGCCAAAATGTAAAGACCATCGAGACTAGGAAGAAACTGCATCAACTAACTAGCAAAATAACCAGCTAACATCATAATGACAGGATCAAATTCACACATAACAATATTAACCTTAAATGTAAATGGACTAAATGCTCCAATTAAAAGACACAGACTGGCAAATTGGATAAAGAGTCAAGACCCATCAGTGTGCTGTATTCAGGAAACCCATCTCACGTGCAGAGACACACATAGGCTCAAAATAAAAGGATGGAGGAAGATCTACCAAGCAAATGGAAAACAAAAAAAGGCAGGGTTTGCAATCCTAGTCTCTGATAAAACAGACTTTAAACCAACAAAGATCAAAAGAGACAAAGAAGCCCATTACATAATGGTAAAGGGATCAATTCAACAAGAAGAGCTAACTATCCTAAATATATATGCACCCAATACAGGAGCACCCAGATTCATAAAGCAAGTCCTGAGTGACCTACAAAGAGACTTAGACTCCCACACAATAATAATGGGAGACTTTAACACCCCACTGTCAACATTAGACAGATCAACGAGACAGAAAGTTAACAAGGATACCCAGGAATTGAACTCAGCTCTGCACCAAGCGGACCTAATAGACATCTACAGAACTCTCCACCCCAAATCAACAGAATATACATTTTTTTCAGCACCACACCACACCTATTCCAAAATTGACCACATAGTTGGAAGTAAAGCTCTCCTCAGCAAATGTAAATGAACAGAAATTATAACAAACTATCTCTCAGACCACAGTGCAATCAAACTAGAACTCAGGATTAAGAATCTCACTCAAAGCCACTCAACTACATGGAAATTGAACAACCTGCTCCTGAATGACTACTGGGTACATAACAAAATGAAGGCAGAAATAAAGATGTTCTTTGAAACCAATGAGAACAAAGACACGACATACCAGAATCTCTGGGACACATTCAAAGCAGTGTGTAGAGGGAAATTTATAGCACTAAATGCCCACAAGAGAAAGCAGGAAATATCCAAAATTGACACCCTAACATCACAATTAAAAGAACTAGAAAAGCAAGAGCAAACACATTCAAAAGCTAGCAGAAGGCAAGAAATAACTAAAATCAGAGCAGAACTGAAGGAAATAGAGACACAAAAAACCCTTCAAAAAATTAATGAATCCAGGAGCTGGTTTTTTGAAACGATCAACAAAATTGATAGACCACTAGCAAGACTAATAAAGAAAAAAAGAGAAGAATCAAATAGACACAATAAAAAATGATAAAGGGGATATCACCACTGATCCCACAGAAATACAAACTACCATCAGAGAATACTACAAACACCTCTACACAAATAAACTAGAAAATCTAGAAGAAATGGATAAATTCCTCGACATATACACTCTCCCAAGACTAAACCAGGAAGAAGTTGAATCTCTGAATAGACCAATAACAGGAGCTGAAATTGTGGCAATAATCAATAGCTTACCAACTAAAAAGAGTCCAGGACCAGATGGATTCACAGCCGAATTCTACCAGAGGTACAAGGAGGAACTGGTACCATTCCTTCTGAAACTATTCCAATCAATAGAAAAAGAGGGAATCCTCCCTAACTCATTTTATGAGGCCAGCATCATTCTGATACCAAAGCCGGGCAGAGACACAACAAAAAAAGAGAATTTTAGACCAATATCCTTGATGAACATTGATGCAAAAATCCTCAATAAAATACTGGCAAACCGAATCCAGCAGCACATCAAAAAGCTTATCCACCATGATCAAGTGGGCTTCATCCCTGGGATGCAAGGCTGGTTCAATATACGCAAATCAATAAATGTAATCCAGCATATAAACAGAGCCAAAGACAAAAACCACATGATTATCTCCATAGATGCAGAAAAAGCCTTTGACAAAATTCAACAACCCTTCATGCTAAAAACTCTCAATAAATTAGGTATTGATGGGACGTATTTCAAAATAATAAGAGCTATCTATGACAAACCCACAGCCAATATCATACTGAATGGGCAAAAACTGGAAGCATTCCCTTTGAAAACTGGCACAAGACAAGGATGCCCTCTCTCACCACTCCTCTTCAACATAGTGTTGGAAGTTCTGGCCAGGGCAATTAGGCAGGAGAAGGAAATAAAGGGTATTCAATTAGGAAAAGAGGAAGTCAAATTGTCCCTGTTTGCAGATGACATGATTGTATATCTAGAAAACCCCATCGTCTCAGCCCAAAATCTCCTTAAGCTGATAAGCAACTTCAGCAAAGTCTCAGGATACAAAATCAATGTACAAAAATCACAAGCATTCTTATACACCAATAACAGACAAACAGAGAGCCAAATCATGAGTGAATTCCCATTCACAATTGCTTCCAAGAGAATAAAATACCTAGGAATCCAACTTACAAGGGATGTGAAGGACCTCTTCAAGGAGAACTACAAACCACTGCTCAAGGAAATAAAAGAGGATACAAACAAATGGAAGAACATTCCATGCTCATGGGTAGGAAGAATCGATATTGTGAAAATGGCCATACTGCCCAAGGTAATTTACACATTCAATGCCATCCCCATCAAGCTACCAATGACTTTCTTCAAGGAACTGGAAAAAACTACTTTAAAGTTCATGTGGAACCAAAAAAGAGCCCGCATCGCCAATTCAATCCTAAGCCAAAAGAACAAAGTTGGAGGCATCACACTACCTGACTTCAAACTTTATTACAAGGCTACAGTAACCAAAACAGCATGGTACTGGTACCAAAACAGAGATATAGATCAACGGAACAGAACAGAGCCCTCAGAAATAACGCCACATACCTACAACTGTCTGATCTTTGACAAACCTGAGAAAAACAAGAAATGGGGAAAGGATTCCCTATTTAATAAATGGTGCTGGGAAAACTGGCTAGCCATATGTAGAAAGCTGAAACTGGATCCCTTCCTTACACCTTATACAAAAATCAATTCAAGATGGATTAAAGATTTAAACCTTAGACCTAAAACCATAAAAACCCTAAAAGAAAACCTAGGCATTACCATTCAGGACATAGGCATGGGCAAGGACTTCATGTCCAAAACACCAAAAGCAATGGCAACAAAGACAAAATTGACAAATGGGATCTAATTAAAATAAAGAGCTTCTGCACAGCAAAAGAAACTACCATCAGAGTGAACAGGCAACCTACAAAATGGGAGAAAATTTTTGCAACCTACTCATCTGACAAAGGGCTAATATCCAGAATCTACAATGAACTCAAACAAATTTACAAGAAAAAAACAAACAACCCCATCAAAAAGTGGGCGAAGGACATGAACAGACACTTCTCAAAAGAAGACATTTATGCAGCCAAAAAACACATGAAAAAATGCTCATCATCACTGGCCATCAGACAAATGCAAATCAAAACCACAATGAGATACCATCTCACACCAGTTAGAATGGCAATCATTAAAAAGTCAGGAAACAACAGGTGCTGGAGAGGATGTGGAGAAATAGGAAGAGTTTCACACTGTTGGTGGGACTGTAAACTAGTTCAACCATTGTGGAAGTCGGTGTGGCGATTCCTCAGGGATCTAGAACTAGAAATACCATTTGACCCAGCCATCCCATTACTGGGTATATACCCAAATGACTATAAATCATGCTGCTATAAAGACACATGCACACGTATGTTTATTGCGGCATTATTCACAATAGCAAAGACTTGGAACCAACCCAAATGTCCAACAATGATAGACTGGATTAAGAAAATGTGGCACATATACACCATGGAATACTATGCAGCCATAAAAAATGATGAGTTCACGTCCTTTGTAGGGACATGGATGAAATTGGAAATCATCATTCTCAGTAAACTATTGCAAGAACAAAAAACCAAACACCGCATATTCTCACTCATAGGTGGGAATTGAACAATGAGATCACATGGACACAGGAAGGGGAATATCACACTCTGGGGACTGTGGTGGGGTGGGGGGAGGGTGGAGGGATAGCATTGGGAGATATACCTAATGCTAGATGACGAGTTAGTGGGTGCAGCGCACCAGCATGGCACATGTATACATATGTAACTAACCTGCACAATGTGCACATGTACCCTAAAACTTAAAGTATAATAAAAAAAAAAGAAACTCTTAAAAAATAATAATAATAATAATTTAAATTATATGAGAGCTGGAACTGCACCAATAGCAACTCAGGGATCCATATTGTATATGTACATGTTGCCCTATTACTTCTTCCTGAAATTAATTCATGTGCCTCTATTTTCTCAACAATTGAAACATTTCAAGAATAGGGGCAATGCCACTTTTCCTTTAATTAGGTTTCTAATGTTTAGTAATTACTGTAGGCAGATCTCAACTATGAATGGTGACTGCCTGAGTTTATAATATGCCTGTATGTCCAACCTGTGCTAATCTACATTGTGCAAAGGATAATTCATTTAGAGGTCAACATTTTCATATGCCATTATCAATATTCTTCAAGAGTGAAGTCTTCTCTGGGAAGTTTCAGTTAAATCCTTGTTAGTGTTTAGTTAGCTTTTCAGAAACATGTACGAGATGCCAATGATAAAGAGGAAACAAATTACTAAGCAATCACTACAAAGGCAATACCTCCACCTGCTACAAGTTTCTTTTTTAAATTTGTATTGTATAAATATAAGCTTTTAAATATACATTTAAAAATTTTTACACTTATAAAGAATAAAGTTAAAATATTTCTAGAATTCCCTGAAAACTGATAAACATACTTTATTGTCAGTCACATATTTTAATTGTCAAAAGTGTTGTCATTTCATTTTGATTCTTTTTAAAGTCCATGGTCACAAGTTTTCCCCATGACAATATTCATGTTCCTTATTAAAGATGTGGTTATCCCAGTTTGGGGCAGAATTGTAAGCAATACAATATAAATGTGAAGTAGTGCATATTTTTAGTAGTATAACTGAAAGAAATGTTGGGATTTTCCATGTTCTGGTGACAGCTGTCAATGGAACTAACATGTATCAGTAATGTCATTCCTGAGAAGAGGACAAGATGATTAAGGTTGAAGTAGTGGTGGGGTGATGGGGGTGGGGATTATTGATTGGAACAGAAATAGAACTTCTTAGCTGATCTTAAGCACTAAGTATACAATGCAATGAAATAAATTTTAATAATTTTTATTTTATGGATAAATAGATCAGCCATGATTAAAATAACTCAGAATTTTTATATACTAACAGTCACTGAGGAAATAAATTGAAATGAATGGTTGAATTTATAAGTAGGGAAAATATTACCATGTCATTAATCTGTCAAAATACAACTTCAACAGACTACTTACCAAAGGCAATAACATAATATTGAAGCGTATGAACTTCAAAGTAAAATGCCTAGAGCTCAAAACTGGCTCTCCCCCACACAATTGTTGTCTTTGGAATATTATTTACTTTATAAAATCTCTAATTTTCAATAGGTAGAATGGAAATACTGATAGGATCAAAGAATTACAAGGATTGAAAATTAGCATTTTAATGTATTTCAATCTGTGCTTGGCACTTGCAGTCCATAAAAAATTTTCCTATGGAGAAAAATGTCTAGAAAGAAAAAATATGTAGACATTACCCAGAACCAAACCATTCTAAGAAGAGTGAATAAGACATAAAGTCTAGTATGAACCACAATGTACAACTTCATACTAGTAATTTCCTAAAGTCAAGATGCTTGGAGAGGCTGTGGAAAGTAATGCTAAAACATATCTTTGGAACCAAACTAATCTGTGATTGAATTCAGTCTTCAACTTTTTATCATTTGCACAATCATGGAAGATTACATATATATTTTACTCTTTCATTTTTCATTTGTAATTAGGTATGATACTCTTTTAAGGCCATTATATAAGGTGATTCTTTATGTTATATACTCAGTTCAATGCTTGGTATATGCTCTTATGCCCTCAAATAGTATTACTTTTCCCAGGAGTTTGAGGCTGCGGTGAGCTATGATTGTGCCACTGTGCTCCAGCCTGGATGCTTAGGTTATTTTTAACTTATACTCTCACATTCAATAATTTTAAAGAATTGACAGGATATATTTTTAGAAATCTGTTTGAACATATTGGAAAGCTACTAGTGTTAAAGGTAATTCTGACTCCTCAAAAATGTTAAAGATGACTTTACTCAAGATTCTTGCAATAAAGGGTAAGACCACTGCAATAGCAGAGAGACATTGAGCTCAACTCCAAATACAACAAGGCAAGTGAGGATTTATAGCTGATGAGCAGATTGGGGGGAATTACTAAGGGAAATTACTAGGAGGAGACATCAAGGGTAGGAGAATGGTTGCTAAACTGACCTAACCAGATGCTTATTAATCCAGGCCAAGAACTTACACATCAAAGGTAGGGGATGAAGAACTTTGTCAGATATCAAATTTGATCAGATATCAAGAGTGGGGTATTGACTTAGCAGGATTCTTTATTAAGACTTGCATAGGCAGATTTAATATAGGGCACAAACATAAGACCTAGTCAAAAGAGGGCTCAGGGGAGCCTGTCTAAACGTTTGGTCAAGGAGAGAGTCTTCATCATCAGGCAGTAAGAAAACAGTGGGCAAAGATTCAGAAGAGGTGAAAAGCCAAGAGAAAGAGGCCTACCATATGATTTCAGGTTTCTTTGTGATTGCCAATAACGTAGAAGTTGAAGGGATGTGGTGAAAACTTGAGCAGAGCTTCCAGCGGGCCTGCTCCAATTTCAATGTTATGGATGAGGAAACCTTGCTTGGGACCTCTTAGAATGCTGCATCTCTCCAATGCTACAGACTTGCTTGGAACCTCTTGGAATTTCTACCATCTGAGAAATAGATGTGAACTGTAATAGATGGTTCTTAATGAGGATTAATGTCTATTCTTTAAATACAGTCTGTCAATTTCTGGTTATATTTGGTGACATGTGTTATTTAAAGCACAAATAAGTCCTTTTTTTGAAATGTAGAATCATAGACTTCCAGTTTCAGATGTGACACGTGAAGAGCTTGGAAGTTGTCACTTGTCTTTATAACAAGAAGAAAAAGCTGAACAATCTAAAAATCAATTACTTTTCTTAGACACATTGGTGAACTGAGGTAGCAGGCCAACCACCATACTAAAATATGTAGAAAGGAAAATAGAAAGAATTACTATATGTGATTCAGAGTCTCAACCATGTGTTATCCAAGTCAAAATCTTTGTAACATCTGGAAGAGAAGCTGCTGGAGCCATAAACTGAAGAAACACTTAAATGGTAATTGTGAAAAGTTACTGGTGCTGAAGAGTGGATAAGCATGTGAATGGGAAACTACCTGTGAGCTTTTGGGGATTAGGGTGCCCAGCTATTCATAGGTTTTACCTCTAGTAACTCTATAAGGTTCTCATGGTGAAGAGCCAAACAGGGAAAAATATCAATCCTGTAGTGACTCTAGCAGGAGGAAGGAAATGTAACCAATTTGAAAGACAACCATAGTAGCCTCCATAACAAAGGTCTACTATCCGGGGGAAATGACTTTCCCAAGACTTATGCAATCTAGGTTGAAGGCATTTATCAAATTTCAGCTCTTTCTAACCTTCTTATATAACATAAATGAAGGTGGTGATGGAGCTAACATATTACATTCCTGAAACTTGAAATACTAAAAGATTGAGATTTAATCATAAGATTAGAAAGTGATCCTCTTCTACTACTTTTACCATCATATCAAAGGGGTTCCATTATAATAGCAGTGAATTGTAGCTGAAAGAGCTGCAAAGTACAGACTCTACTTAAGGAATAGGAAAACACAATTTTAAAAAGAAAAAAAAATGACTCTCAGACATTAGAAGAATTTTAAAGCCTTAGGTATCTACAGGTACAGAAAACATTAAGCAAAACCCAGCTCATAGCCAGATTATTATAAAATCTCACACTAGAGGACTTTTACCTAAATTCCAATTGCCTGATACATCATATCCAGGTGGTAATAGAAAAAATGTAGTAAAAAGCAAGAAAAAATACTACAAAATGTAGTAAGATGCAAAGAAAGCATTAGAACCAGACTCAGATTTTTATACAGATTTTTATACAGATTTTGGAATTTTCAGAGGGCAATAGTTACGAATAATAGCTATGAATAATACATAAAGGACTTCAATGGAAAAATAGGCACTATACAAGAAAAAATGTGTAATGTAAACAGAAAGATGGGAACTCTAAGAAAGAATCAAAAGAAAATGTTAGAAATGAGAAAAAAATACTGTAACAAAAATGAAGAATACCTTTATAAAAGGAAAATATCTTGGGCCCCCAACATCACTAAACTAAAGGGAAAAGTCAAGCTGGGAACTGCTTAGGGAAAACCTGCCCCCCATTCTATTCAAATTCACCCCACTTCTTACTGAGATAAATACATATTTGATGGCTTCCTTTGGAAAGGCTAATCAGAAACTCAAAAGAATGCAACCATTTGTCTCTTATTTACCTATGACCTGGAAGGCTCCTCCCCGCTTTGAGTTGTCCCACCTTTTCAGACTGAACCAATGTTCATCTTACATATGTTGACTGATGTCTCATGTCTCTCCAAAATGTATAAAACCAAACTGTGCTCTGACCACCTTGGGCACATGTCGACAAGACCTCCTGAGGCTGTGTCACAGGGCACATCCTCAACCTTGGCAAAATAAACTTTCTAAATTAACTGATATCTGTCTCAGATTTTGGGGGTTCACATTTTAGTAACCATGAAGGGATTCTGAATGGAGGTGCCCCAACTTTTGGCAAATCTCCTATTGGTGCTTGGTACCAGCTTGAGCTACCTTTAGGGACAATAGAACAATTTGCAGAGACCTGGAAGCACCTCCACCAGAGAATCCTTGATCTCCCGAAATTTGGTCAAGATCTAAAGTTTATTTTGCTCTGCAACCTTTTTTTTGCAGGGGAGGGCGGGGAGTTTTACTTTCTTCCAACACAAGGCAGGCAAGTTTTTTTCCTGCTTCCATGACAATGGAAGGCAGGTAACTCCTTTATGGAGTTTAAGCTTGCTTCCAAACAGGCAAGATGAGTTTTTTGCCTGCTTCTAGGATGGTAGAAAGCAATCTTCAGCCTGAGACCCATCCCTTGGTAAGTAACTGAATTGGGGTTTGTCTTGGCTAAAGTTAAGATTAACTATCCACTGGTCTTAATTTCCTCTTCCCACTAGAGTGCTCAGTAATCATATAAGTTGTATGATCATGTGTTTTGCTTAATTGATTTTTTTTTTCTCTTAAACTTTTTAAGTTCTTGTTGTGGGAAGTCAGGGACCCCGAACAGAGGGACTGGCTGGAGCCGCGGCAAAGGAACATAAATTGTGAAGATTTCGTGGACATTTATCAGTTGCCAAATGATACTTTTATAATTTCTTATGCCTGTCTTTAATCTCTTAATCCTGTTATCTTCATAAGCTGAGGATGTATATCACCTCAGGACCACTGTGATAATTGTGTTAACTGTGCAAATTGATTGTAAAACGTGTGTTTGAACAATAGGAAATCTGTGCACCTTGAAAAAGAACAGAATAACAGTGATTTTTAGGGAACAAGGGAAGACAACCATAAGGTCTGATTGCCTGTGGGGTTGGGCAAAAAGAGCCATATTTTTCTTTTTGCAGAGAGCCTATAAACAGACGTGCAAGTAAGAGAGATATCACTAAATTCTTTTCCTAGCAAGGGATATTAATATTAATACCCTGGGAAAGGAATGCTTTCCTCGGGGGAGGTCTATAAACGGCCGGTCTGGGAATGTCTGTCTTATGCAGTTGAGATAAGGACTGAGATACGCCCTGGTCTCCTGCAGTACCCTCAGGCTTACTAGGGTGGGGAAAAACTCTGCCCTGGTAAATTTGTGGTCAGACCAGTTCCCTGCTCTTGAACCCTGTTTTCTGTTAAGATGTTTATCAAGACAATACGTACACCACTGAACATAGACCCTTATCAGTGGTTCTGCTTTTTGCCTTTGTCCTGTTCTCTCAGAAGCATGTGATCTTTGTTAGACCCTTATTTGTAGTTCTGCTTTTTGCCCTTTGAAGCATGTGAACTTTGTACCTACTCCCTGTTCTTATACCCCATTCCCTTTTGAAACCCTTAATAAAAACTTGCTGGTCTGACACTCAGGCGGGCATCACAGTCCTACTGATATGTGATGTCACGCCCGGAGGCCCAGCTGTAAAATTCCTCTCTTTGTACTCTTTCTCTTTATTTCCAGCTGGCTGGAAAATAGAAAGAACCTACGTTGAAATATTGGGGTGGGGGGGGGTTCCCCCAATAAGTTCTGGGATACATTTGCAGAACATGTTTTGTTACGTAGGTATACATGTGCCATGGTGGTTTACTACACCTATCAACCCATCATCTAGGTTTTAAGCTCCACATGCATTAGGTATTTGTCTTAATGCTCTCCCTCCCCTTGCTCCCCACAGCCTGACAGGCCCCAGTATGTGATATTACCATCCCTGTGTCCATGTGTTCCCATTGGCTTAACTGATTTTTATTGTTGCTGTTTGTTTTCGTTGTTGTTTTAGTCTTTTTCTCATTGGGTTTGATCAACTCTATTTGACTTGATCAAAGCCAAAGGAAGTTCCAAATTATGGAGAAGGCCTCTGAAGTGGCTAAATTCCCCCAACACACACACACAGAGGGTGGTGGGGTGGGGGAGAGAAATGGCAAATGGCCAGAAAAAGGCAAAAAAAAAAAAAAGAGGAAACGTTTTTGGTCTTAACTACTAAGGGGATTTACTTACATAACAAAGCCACCTTTTTGCTAGCCAGGATAAACTGAAAGAGCAATGGCTATACTCCTGAAATAGCAGCAATTTGTCCTGGCTGAAATATGGTAATGATATTTAAAAAGATTTTTTTTAATGTACTCAATGGTTAAAAGTCAGCTTAATTAAAAGCTAACCCCCAAGATGTATGTATATAAATGTATATGCATGTGTTTGTATTTAAAATGTCTTCATGTTTTTGTTTTTCTCCTAGGACCTGTCTTTTTTTGAGCAAAAGTTTTTCTTCTTCTCTGTTGACTGAATTCTGTTTTCTTCATTTACTTCTGCTATCTCTCCTTTCTCTTGTATCCTCTGCAGCATGGGCGACCTAAAATAGTTTATAATAGCCTGCCTTCCTTAAATAAAATGGAGAAGGCACCAGACTCCCCTAGGAGAAAAAACCTGTTTTTCTTATGGAACCCCAAAAATGTAAACAGACAAGTTCATCTCAGATCTTAAACTGCTTACTTTTGTATTGCGTTACCTGTTTTGTTTTTTGACTAAAATACTTATTGCAATAAAGGTTACTCTTGGGGTTTTAAGGAAGAGTATGGTTTAGACACTTAAAAATGTCTTTGTTTAAAAACAATTTTTTAAGCGTACTGTAACAGCATCAGATAGTCTAATCTCATAATAATTCTCCCTTTTTGAAGACTCAGGATTCAGTGTGGACTCTGGCTAGAGTTCAGAGATCCAGTCAAAAGATAGGTAGTCCCTATCTAAATAAAATTGGTCTCCTTATACAATCCTATGATAGATTTCTATAATTTTATGTTTGATTTGACATCCATCTTTAATCTCACTGTAGCACCACCAGACTTTTTTCTCTCTGTATCTGATGATATAAATCTATTTGATTTTCAACTGAGTTGTTTCCTCTAATATGTAAATTTAAGGCTATTTAGCTGACAACTGCCTAGGGTTGTGAAACAGGTAATCAAGAACAAAGTCTAAGATAGGAAAAAAAGGTTTTTATAAATCTATAAGATGTACTTCCACCAGCATGTCTAATACATGTATATATTTATGTGTTTTGTACACAATGTTTCACTACTGAAAATATATGAAAGAGCTCTAATTAATTGGCTTAGTAAAACCACTTGAATCAAATACTTCATCAGGAAAAAAAGACTACTCAAATTCTTGCTCAAGTTTATGCAACTTAAGTAAAATCTTTAATAAGCTAGCTTTAAAATTATTAGTAAAGTAATATTAGAAATGTCTTAAGAATTCCCAGCATACATTTTTGTTTACATTTATTAATCAAACAATTTCACACTTAACCCTGACAAATACTTTAAGGTGTCAAAATTTGGCATAGGGGGTACAAAACTATAGACCCAGCCCAAGACAGAATGATCTCTGCTTGTGTAATCTTTAATAAATAAGACATTTATATTGGCTTAATAAAAATAGCTACATTTTAAATTTAGTAAGATTACCATAACTTTTAATCTCATGGCTCTAGGTGGTCTAGTCCACAAACAGTAAGGTTTGTTTTGGGAAAGTTATCATCTTTGCTTCAAAGCTAAACTATAAACTAAGTTTCTCCCCAAGTTAGTTCAGCCTACACCCAGGAATGAACAAGGACAGCTTGGAGCTTAAAAGATGGAGTCAGTTAGGTCAACTATTTTTCACAGTCCCAGTTATAATTTAGCAATGGCTGTCTCATACTTTAAATAATGACAGTCACTGTGGTTTTTATAAATAATCTAGGTAAACAATTAAAGTAATTGGGTAAATACAATAGGATAAATATTTGTAGATAAACTTGTCATAATTTAGACTCTAAAGTTATATTAAATTAAATAATAACTATTTAATCATTTGGGTATTTTCCAATAAAGATACATTTGAAGGAAAACATTATTTCCAAAAGAAAAAAAGTATGTCCTTTCAAAAAAAAAGCAAGCAATTTTTATCTAATTTGAAACTTATTTAAAGGTCACATATAAAACAAGGTAAAAAGAACCAGGAAATAAAAGAGATGTAAAAAAAGTTATAAAAATAAAGAGTTTTTTGGTGATAAGAAAGCTTAAAGAGAAATAATTTCATATAAGAAAGACTCTTGTGTGGTAAATTTAGTCCTAGAATAAAATGACTGTTTGTTTAAGAAGGAGGGATAGATGTTCAGGACAAACCAGAAAGTCCAAGCATGTCATAAACAGTCTATAAAAGTCACAATAAAAGGATTTATTAAAAAAAACCAAAAACTTTTATATGATCAAGTTGTCTATGATTAAAGGGAAATTATAATTGTCTCTCTGGAGATTTGGTTTAATGTAAAAAAAGACACACACTAAAGAATTAGAACAATGAAATTTTCTTAAGTGGTTTGATTTACTCTTAATAGATTGTAAGAGATTTTAAATTTTTAACATTGTTTAACCCAAAGTTCAACTTTTATTACATCTTGTTGGTTTTGGTTTTCTCTCCCCTTTTAAAAGGTGTGAAATAGTAACACTCCCCTTCAACTCATTTTTAGTTCATATGAGTTTTTTTCTTTTTCCTCCTTGGGTTCTGTTATTTGTGGCCTGATGCTAACAATGTTTACTTAAAGGTCTAAAGGAAACGTTTTCTTCCAACATAATATTCTGTGCACTCCAGAAATTCTTTTATTTTGCCTTTTGGTAACTGGCCTAACATATTTTACATTTATCGAAATAATTCCTATGCCATTATTAAGTTTGGTTTGCTTAGGAAAAACTGAGATGTAAATTTTTTAAATTAAGGTTATTACATTTTTCTATCTTCCTGTATATACTTTTAAAGTCCTTGTGACATTGAGTTGGAGGGCTTTGACTTTTGGGTTTAAAAAGAACAATAAATCTTACTAAATCTTAAACACTGAAAACAAATGCTCATCTTCAGGCCCAGTAGGAGATGCCAAGCAAAATAAACTGCATTTCTGAGTTACAGGTTCAGAAATTAAAGCTATTTAACTCTTCAAGGCCTAGGGACTATTGCAGAAGAGGTAGGTGTGTGAAATTGTATGGGCTGATTTTGAGAGATAAAATAAGTTGTTTCTCTATAAATTAATCACTAATGTCAAAGACACACTGATACAAAACCAGCATAGGAACCCTGTGTCGGAGTAACAAGGTTTTCTTGAGGCATTAACCAACTCCTTATTAAAGGTTATCAAGGCTTATGGAAGTCATAACTTATGATAAAGACAAAAATTTCATGTTGTTCATAAAATTTTAGAAAACAAATTTAATTGGCTTCTTGCTGTTTTTATTAGGGCTTATTGTGTAGAAAATTAAGTCTCCTCGGCTGGGCGCGGTGGCTCACGCCTGTAATCGCAGCACTTTGGGAGGCCGAGGCGGGCGGATCACGAGGTCAGGAGATCGAGACCACGGTGAAACCCCGTCTCTACTAAAAATACAAAAAATTAGCCAGGCGCAGTGGCGGGCGCCTGTAGTCCCAGCTACTCGGGAGGCTGAGGCAGGAGAATGGCATGAACCCGGAAGGCGGAGCTTGCAGTGAGCGGAGATCGCGCCACAGCACTCCCGCCTGGGCGACAGAACGAGACTCCGTCTCAAAAAAAAAAAAAAAAAGAAAGAAAATTAAGTCTCCTCTCTCAGAGAATGAAGGTTTTTGCCTTTTTTTTGAAATCGAGTTGTCACTTTGGTTAAATGAATGACATTTTACAATGACCTGTGATCCTTTTTATAACCTTTAATATTTTGTAACCTTTAATATTTGATATTTGACAAACTTTCCAAAGTCAAATTATAAAGTATGTATTTTTCTGACCTAATTAATCCTTTAAGATATTAATAGGTTCCCTAAACTCCAAAAATGACATATTTGGCTTATTTGGTATAAAAATTATACAAGAAGAATTGTCAAATATAAGATGGTGCTTGGTTTTTCTTTGGGCTGTTTTTGTATAAATATGTTATTGGTATGTGTTCCAAAATTATGGGAAATACCTATAATTATGATATGACTTAATGTACATTATTAGTAATAATTGTAATTGTTATGCTAAATTATTGTGTGCCACAGTGGTAATAAATTTCCTTGTCACTTGTGTCTTTGACTGCCCTAAAACTTTTTGTCATTCACAGACAATTGTTATCTTGTTTTGGACCTCTTTAGAAGGTGGTTTTATAATCAGCTATAAAACTCTAACAGGTGCTGTTGAATGCAAATTTCTGATAACTCTGGAGATTATGACATCAGAATAGAGGAAAAACCTTAGGACACATGGTTAGCTGAAATGTTCATGAATATCAAGCAGAACAGCAACTAACTGCATGGACTCAACTAATAAGAGTCTGAAGTAATTTTTGTAACTTTTTGATTAAAATGTTGCCGATTCTTTGTTTTGTTTCTCAGAGTCAAGAAAACGTTTTTAAAAGCTATTTACACCTTTTAAAAATTGAGTATACTCCTATGAACAAAATTTGGAGCATGTTTGTTTCTCTCTACCTGATTTTTATAGAATTTCGAAACTGTATTCTTATGTTATGACAATACAGTTATTTGCATCAGTGCAATAAGAATCTGTTTTCATTTATAACAGGATATAATTGGATAAAATGGTTATTTTACCAAGGCTTTAACTGGAATGGTGTGCTTTCCTCTTAGGCATCAAACTTGACTTATGGAGCCAATAAAAGTCCCTTGGAAAAACTGGCCTCATACCTTTGTCTACACAGTCCCTGTACTGAGTTCCTGTCCTGTGGTAAGTAAAGAATGTCACTTTCTGACAGGCCCAGCAGCCCCAAATTTATCTAGGAACCTCAAGGGGAGAGAAATTCACCCAACTCATAGGTATTTGATGGTACAAATTCAAGGCTGGGCTGGGCTTTAACAGTCTTACCTGAGATGTGTTCTATGGAACAAAGTTTCATCAACGCCAATTTAAAAGCCTATGTAAAAAATAATTATTCTTGCTGCACTGTATATACATAATTAGGCGAAGTATGATAAAGCAAACCAGTCCTACCATGGTTTGTCTTCAGTAAGAATGGGAAACTGGAGAGAGAAAAATTGTGTTTCAAAAACTATAGTATACCTGTTGTTAGATTCAGTCTTACCTAATGTGTTTAAATTTTTACTATTTTCTACAGTTTATACAAGATTCTAAATTTTTTACCTACAAGTCTCCAAAATAGTGTTTTCAATTATTTTTTTCCATTTTTTAAAATTTGGAGTCAATGAAAAATAAGCTGTGTTTTCATAACGCCCTGTGAACTGAAGCTAGACAACTTCAGAAAAAATAACAGCAACCTATTTACGTACATAAGCCACTTTCATACATGCCTACTGATGTATGAACTTCAGAGTAATGTGGCCTATATCAGTTTTCCAGGATTGTTCTTTAATTTGTTGTTTTCCTCCCTTGCTCCCCCTATTTTCTCTTCACAGGACATGTGACTTCACAACCTTTTAAAAATGAGCTTTCCTAATAACTCAGGATCTACATGTCTAGGAATAAACCATCCTAGCCATGAGAGATCAGACAAAACCTGAAACCAGAGACTCATTATCTTCTAAAAAACTTTCTCCAAAAGATTTTACAAAAGGTGGTGGAGGTTAGGGGAGCATTGTGAAAGGAATATATCTTGGGCCCCCAACATCACTAAGCTAAAGGGAAAAGTCAAGCTGGGAGCTGCTTGGGATAAACCTGCCTCCCATTCTATTCAAAGTCACCACTCTGTTCATTGAGATAAATGCATATCTGATTGCCTCCTTTGGAGAGGCTAATCAGAAACTCAAAAGAATTCAACCATTTGTCTCTTACAGACCTATGACCTGGAAGCCCCCTCCTGCTTTGAGTTGTCCCGCCTTTCCACACCAAGCCAATGTTCATCTGCATATGTTAACTGATATCTCATGTCTCCCTAAAATGTATGAAACCAAAATGTGCTCTGACCACCTTGGGTACATGTTATCAGGACTTCCTGAGGCTGTGTCTTGGGCGCATGTCCTCAACTTTGGCAAAATAAACTTTGAAAATTAACTGAGACCTGTCTTAGATTTTCAGGGTTAACACCTTCAATGAGTCTATTGGTAGACTGGGTATGACCAAAATGGGGATGGGGGAGGGGAAATTAATGAGCTTGCAGACTCACTAGTAACTTTTTGAACTGAAAGGCACAGGAAAAAAGGAATAAGATTTTTTAAAAAGAGAAAAAGGGATTAAGACTAACAAATTTGGGGCAGAAATTTGGGTTGAATTCCATAATTCAACTCATAAAGTGCCTTGTAAATAAAGTACTTGGTATAAAGCATCTTCATTACACATGAAGGGATACATTGCTGTTTAAAAGTGGATCCAGATTAGTTGTGATTATACTTCAAATTTTAAGGCAACAACTCAAAAATCTTAAAAAGTATAATTGAATAGCAAGAGAGGAGAGAGACTGAAATAATAAAACATTCATTTAAAAGTAGCAAAGGCAGAAGGAAGGGGAAGAAAAGAAAAAAGAAGAGCAACAAATAGAAAATAGTTACAAATATAATAAATATGTCTTAGTCCTTTTGAGTTGCTATAAAAATAACACAGACTGGTTAATTTATAAAGAGCTGTAATTTATTGACTCATGGTTCTTGAGGCTGGAAAGCCCAAGACTGACGGGCCAGCATCTTCTGAGGGCCTTCCTGCTGCATCATCCTATGGCAGGAGGGCAGAGGGCAAAAGGGGACTGAACTCATCCATTATATAAGAGACCTACTCCTGCTATAACAAATCTACTTTTGTAATAACAGCATTAATTCACTCATAAGAGAGGTGCTCACAGGATCCAAACATCTCCCATTAGGCTTCACCTCCCAACAGGCCCTACTTCGCAACACCAATAGGTTGGGGATCAAGTTTTCAACATATTAACTTTAAGGGACACATTAAAATAATAGAAAGATATTAATTCAACTGTATCAATAATCACTTCATATGTGAGTCACTTAAATCAATTTAAAAATAGATTGTCAGAATTGGGCGGAAACCAACAAGACCCAAACATATTATCTATGAGAACCTACTTTAAATTTTAGCAATTGAATAAGTTAAAAGATATACCATGTTAGTACTATTCGAAAGAAAGCTGGAGTAATTATATAAATTTCAGACAAGGCAGAGTTCAAACAAGGAAAACTGTTGGTTATAAATAGGGTATTAAATAATGATAATGTGGTTAATTACACAAGAAGAGATAAAAAAATCTTAAGTTTATGTATAAATCCACTATTATAGTTAGAGACTAGCACTCCTTTATCAGTAATTACTAAGTCAAAGAGGCAAAAGGTCAGTAAGAATACAGATTCAACATATGTCTAAATACCACTTTGGTCAAAGACGCCTCAAGAGAAATTAAAAAGGGTTTTGAATTAAATGAAAATGAAAATACAACTTATCAAAAGTTGTGAAATGCAGCAAGCAATGAATAGAGGGAAATCTACAGCATTAAATGCATATATTAGAAGAAAGACCTAAAGTTAATAATCTAAGTTCCATATTAGGAAAATAGAGAACAGAGAGCAATTTAAACATAAAGCAAGCAGAAGAAATAAAAAACAGAGCAGAAATTAATGTAATTAAAATCAGTAAAATACAGAAAATAAAAAATTCAAGCTTCTTTTTTGAAGAGATTGATAAAATTGATAAAGCTGTAGGTACTTTAACGAAGAAAAAAAGAGAAAATAAAAATTACCAATATCAGAAATAAAAGAAGGGTCATCTCATGGGTATTAGAAGGATAATCAAGGAATACTACGAACGACTGTATGCCAACAAATTTGATAACTTTGATAAAATTAATCAATATTTTGAAAGATAAAAACTACAAACTCCTCATAAGAAGAAACAGATAATCTGAATAGGTATATATTGATTAAAGAATTTGAATAATTAATACCTTCCAAAAAAGAAAGCTGCAGTCCCAGACTTCACCAGTGAATTCCACGAAACATTTAAGAAATAATAATTTTCTACAATACCATTCAAAAAATAGATATCTAGGGATCACTTCTTAATATAGTTAGGCTTTGTGTTCCCACCCAAATCTAATCTTGAATTGCAATCCCCGTAATCAGCATGTGTGAACAGAGAAACCAAGTGGAGGTAACTGAATCATGGGGTAGTTTCCTCCATGCTTCTCTCGTGACGGTGAATGAGTTTTGACAAGATCTGATCATTTTTTAGGGGGCTCTTCCTTCTTCCCTTGGCACTTCTTCCTGCCACCTTGTGAAGAACAGATACAAAAATTCTTAACACATCAGCAAATTAAATCTAACAAAGCATGAAAAGAATTATATAGCATGACCAAATGAGATTTATTCCAGGTATGCAAGGCTAGTTCAACATTTGAAAATAAAATAACATAATCCATCATATCAACAAGCTAAAAAAGAAAAATTATACAATTATAATCATTTGACACAGAAAAAAAAAACACTTGACAAAGTCAAACACATGTTCATGATAAACACTCTTAGCCAACTAGGAAAAGAGGGGAACTTCTTCAAATAGAGAACATGTACAAAAAAAGTACAGTTAACTTAACACTTGTCTATATAGAAAGCCACAAATAATTGACAAAAAAGTACTTCTGGAACAAATAAGAGATTATAGCAAAGTTTCAGCATGTAAGGCCAATAGACAAATGTTGATTACCTTCCTACATACAAACAATTGTTACAAACAATTGGAATTTGAAGTTTAAAAACAATACCAATATTGTTAGCATCCCTCCTCAAAATTGAAACACTGTGATAAACCTAACAAAGCATGTACAGCATCTATGTGTGACACATTCAATGCAAGCCCCATAAAAATCCCAGCAACTATTTTGTAGATACTGACAAATGGAGCTGAAGTCTATGTGAAAAGGTGAGATTTCTACAATAGCTAACACAACACCAAAGAACAACAAAACTTGGGGACTGACATACCCTACTTCAAGTTTACTGAATAGCCAACTGTAAACCAGACATCATGGTATTGGAGAAAGGATAAACATAGATAAATGGAACGGAACAAAGAATCTACATGTGGAAACCCACAGTTACAATTTATTGATCCTTGATAAAGCAGCCAAGACAATTCAGGTCAGAAAGGATAGTTTTTAAGCAAATGAAGCTGGAATTGGAAATCCATATGCAAAATGTAATCCTACATACAAGCTTTATAGCTTTTGCAAAAATTAACTCAAATTGGACCATAAACCTAAATGCTAAACTATAAAACTTGGAAACCTAAAAAACTTCTAGAACATAAGAAAATATCTAGGTAACTTTGAATTTGAGCATCAGTTTTTAGACACAATATCAAAAGAACAGTTCATGAAAGAAAAAAATTGATGTGTTAATATTTAAAACCCCTTTTCTGTGAAAGATACTTTTAAGTGAATGAAAAGACAAGCCACAGACCAGAAAAACAATATTTATAAATCCTATAGCTGATAAAGAATTTATATGCAAAATATTCAAAAAACCGTTAAAACTTACCAATAAGAAAACAACCCGATTAAAAAATGGGCAAAAGATCTGAAAAAAATCTCTAGAAGATATATAGATGGTAGAAAATTATGAAAGTTTCTAATATTTGTCATGAAGGAATTACAACTTAAAGTAACAATGAGATACCACTATATTAGCCTACTAGAAGGACTGAACACTTTTTTAAACTGACAAAAGCAAATGTTTGTGAGGTACAGGAGCAAAAAGAACCTTTCACTCATTTATGGTGGGAACTATCTTCTAATGGCACACCTTAGAAAATAGTTTGGCGGTTTATTTTTAATAAAAGATCTAACCTTTGTGCTTATATATATTTACCCAACTGATTTGAAACTTTTGTACACATAAAAACTGTACATAAATTTTTATAGAGGCTTTATTCACAATTGGAAACTGGAAGCAATCAAGTTGTCCTTCAATAGGTGAACAGAAACAAAACGTCGTGGTGCATCCATGTAATCAAATATTATTCAATGATTAAAACAAAAAAGCTATCAAGGCATGGAAAAATATGGATAAACCTTAAATGCAAGTTGTTAAGTGAAAAAAAGTCAGTCTGAAAGGGCTACATACTTTACTGTTTAAACTGTATGATATTCTGAAAGAGACAAATCAATAGAAACAAAAAGATCAGTAGCTGACAAGGGTTCTGGGGGAGTGGGGAGGGTTGGATAGGTGAAACACAGGAGTCTTTTTAGGGAAGCTGAACTATTCTGTATAATCCTGTAATGGTGTATACATGGCATTATGTATTTGTCAGACACACAGATTTTACAACATAGAAAGTTAAACTTTCAAAAATCATTTAGGAGATTGAAGTGGGGATTCCAGGAAGGAATTCAAACTCTGACAAACCTATCTAATTGTGTAACAAATGTAGCATACTGAAACATTAAGGAGAATGTATAGAATTAAATGCATATATTTGAAGAAGATAAAGATTGCATATCAGTGATGTTACACATCTCAAGAAATAAAGAAAAGAATAGCAAAACAAACAAAAAATAGAAATAAGAAAATAATTTGAATGGAACTAATAAACACTTGGTGATATTGTCTGAGGAGGTTGGGGAGGGAAGAGGGGAAACATAAATGAACGCCCTTATAGAAGGGATGAAAAGGCCAGGCGCGGTGGCTCAGGCCTGTAATCCCAGCACTTTGGGAGGCTGAGGTGGGTGGATCACGAGGTCAGGAGTTTGAGACCAGCCTGGCCAACATGGTGAAACCCCATCTCTACTAAAAATACAAAAATTAGCCGGGCGTTGTGGCAGGTGCCTGTAATCCCAGCTACTCGGGAGGCTGAGGCAGGAGAATTGCTTTAACCTGGGAGGCGGAGGTTGCAGTGAGCTGAGATCGCACCATTGCACTCCAGCCTGAGCAACAAGAGCGAAATTCCATCTCAAAAAAAAAAAAAAAAGAAAAGAAATTAAAACTTATTAAAAAATATTATCAACACTTCTAATCAATATTTTTGCTAGAGGTCTCAGCCAATACAAAAAGTCAAGATAAATAGATGAAAAAGGAATAAAGTGTCATTTTGCACAGATAATTTTGAACATAGAGTCAACAACTGAAAATCAATCCATCTAAATACTCACTGAATTCAAGGTCATCATTTATACAATAAATATACAAGGTTATTATTTATACAATAATATGTATACGATATTTATACAATATGTATACATTACATATTGTATACATACATAAATAATATGTATACATACATAAGTATACATATTATACAATATGTATACAATAAATTATACAAGGTTATTAATTATACAAATCAATTGTATTTCTATATACTAGCCACAGTGAATAAATATGAAAATAAGAAAATGAAGAAAAATGTAACATTCATATTAGCTTCTGGGTCAAAGGCACTATATTTAGGGGGAAATCGCATATAAACTGTCTCTTCTCTCAAAGAATAGGATTTGAAATTTTGTAGAATTTTTTCATAAGTTAGACTTTCCAGTCTTAGAATTTTCAGTCGTCTAGGTCTTAATCAAAGTGACTTTCTTCCATATTGAAAAGCTTTGTATTTCCATTTTCCGTTTGAGCCTTGTGTTTCTGGCATCTCAGTATTTAAATACAGAGATAAATTGCAGGGATTTTTTAGCCTGTGACCAATCACTGCCTCCAATGCCTCTTGCTGTGGATTGCTTGAGCCCGTATTCATCCACTCTGGCTGTGACTTAGAATTACTGGGGGAAGCTGTGCAAAAATACTGGTATCCAGACCTCACCCTCTGGCTTTGGGTACAAGCTTGGATTTATTTTAGCAGCTTTCTATGAGAGTCTAACATACCTCCAGGGTTGAGAATCATTTGCTGATGCTTATATAACAGTGGTTCTTAACTATGGCTGCACATTAGGCTCACCTGGAGAGCTTTTAAAAGTACTGATGACTAGGCCCTATCCCAAATTAATTAAGTCAGAATCTCTGAAGCATGTCTGTGAATGCAGTAGTTTTAAAAGGCTCTCCAGGTGATTCCAGTATGCTGTTAGGATTGAGAATCTCTCGTATACAACCTGCTTCTTAGGGAAGTAGTCTCACTCATCACCACATTTGTTTCAGCTGGAGAATAACCTTCTCCAGGTTAATCAACTGAGTTTGTTGTTGCTCTTAGAAACTAGTGAAGATCTGTGCCACTGGAGTTTTTCAAGACACTGGGTTTCTACAATTTTTGAACATACTAAGTATGTATTAGCATTTATTTCTACTTATTTTCCTAAAGTGATGTGATATGATGGCCAATTTACCTCTACTATTTCTATACTACATTATTTTTATAAATTTAGGGGCACAAGTGCAGTTGTATTACATGGGCATATTGTATAATGGTGAAATCTGGGCTTTTAGTGTACCCATCACCTGAATAGGGTACTTTGTACACAATAGGTAATATTTTATCCCTCACCCCTTCACCTGCCTATACCACTTTCAAGAAGACTCAGTAGTTTCTTGAAACCTAACCTGCTTCTTAAATTGATGTTTAACTCTCTCTTTCCTTGATTACATGTAGGGCCAGTATAATTTGCTGGCTAGTCCATTTCTGCTACAATAACAGAATACCTGAGACTGGATAATTAATAAAAAAAATTATTTCTCACAGTTCTGGAGGGAAGTCCAAGATCAAGACACCAGCATCTCCTGCGGGCCTTCTTGCTGCATTCTCACACAGCAGAAGACAGAACAGCAGGCCCTTATATAAAGGCACCCAATCCCAGTGAGGGAGAAGCCCTCATGACCTAATCACCTCTTAAAGCCCCGCCTCTTAACATTATCGCATTGGCAACACCTGAATTTTGGAAGAGACACATTCAAACCATAACACTAGCATTCTGTGCATTCATGCTTTTTTTATTTAATTTTGCTTTATGGCCCAGATATGTGATTTTCTAACATCATCCTCTAAATTTTGTTTTGCATTCTCTTTTAGTGAGAAAAAGGATATTCAGAAATTTGGGGTCTGATAAAAGCATTCACAGTTTGACAAAATCCTGTGCTCCTTCTTTTTATAAAAAAAACTATTATTACTTCTTTTAGTAATGGGCATCTCACTATGCTGTCCAGGCTGGAGTGCAGTGGCTATTCACACATGCAATAATAGCACAATAGCACACAACAGCATAGAACTCTTGGCCTCAAGTGATCCTCCTGTCTCAGCCTCCTGAGAAGCAGGGACTACAGGCGCATGCCAACACGCTTAGCTCTTCTTTTATTTGAATTGGATAATCCCACACAAGAAATATACTGCCCTCAAAAACATTCAACCCAGGCCTGAATGTAATCTGTGATTGTCCTGCCTGCTCTCTTTTTTCTATATTTCACCTTTCCTATGTTGGCCTTAAGGTCTTAATCTAAGGCACAGTAAATGTTCATATGCTCATTTTATTATGGTTCTATCACTTTGAAACTCAAATACCTATGCTTTGTTGATGGTGTGGATTTTTCTTTTTCTTTTCCACTGATCTCTTTGTTCTTCCCATTTCCAATCTTGCCAGATTTTCTGCAACCACTTTGTAAAGCCATCTTCACTAGTACAGGGTAGCTCCTCAGTTACTATTACTCTAAATTATCTTTTCATGTCCTTAAGAAGCTACCACGAATCCTTTCTTAGACTCTGGCCACTCCTGGAGATTATTTCAGATTTGGCTTTTCTTTCGAGAAGGCAATTAATAAATTTTTCTAGTTCCCTACAACTTTTACTGATTTAATGGCAACAAAATTTCCCCCTTTCCCATAGATATTTTAAGAGAAGCTAGAAGTGAGTATATTGTTTTCTCTTTCTATTTGCATATCATGATCTCTAAGATACAAACTAATCTTCATGTCTACCTGGTTTTCTCTTAATATGTGCACCTTTCTCCTAGGGAAATCTCTGTTTTCACCCTGAACTTAATAATTTTGTCTTTCTTTCTTTGGTTTTCATCCTTTACCACTCTTGATATAAAAGCAAAGCTGATCTATACTTTCACACCTTTGTTAATACCTTCCACTTTTTTTATTTTATGTGCAAATTTGACTTCTCAGATAGTGTTTTAAGAACAAGCTTTTTGAATTTGCTGTTTTAGTCTTCGTGTCTGTAATAAACTGAGTTTGTTTTCTTGCTCCAAGCAGAGAATATGGAACATTCTATTTCTGATGTGGCTCCCTTTACTTTTTGTTGATTCATAAAATCTCTCTATTATGAGTGAATTAGCTAAAATCCATAGTTAGAACATGTATAAATATACTGAGCCAAGTTGGAAACATGCAGGGTAAGCAACCTTTAAGAGCTCATAAAAGTCACCTGAGTTGAAGAATTTAGCCCTTTCTCAGATTATTCCTGTGGAACTGAATGTAGTTTAAAAAACAACATGAAAAACAACATAAATGGGGTGGCCTATGTGTGTGCAGAGTAGTTATTTTTAGGAGAAATGAATCTTGGTTGTTAGAAGACCAGCCTAAAAAAATCTGAAAAAAATACACTTGTGTTCTGCTTCCTAATTTCTTTCTTTCTTTCTTTCTTTTTTTGTTTTGTTTTTGAGACGGAGTTTCGCTGTGTTGCCCAGGCTGGAGCGCAGTGGCGCAATCTCGGCTCACTGCAAGCTCCGCCTCCCAGGTTCACGCCATTCTCCTGCCTCAGCCTCCCGAGTAGCTGGGACTACAGGCGCCCGCCACGACGCCCGGCTAATTTTTTTGTGTTTTTTTAGTAGAGACCGGGTTTCACCATGTTAGCCAGGACGGCCTCGATTTCCTGACCTCGTGATCCGCCCGCCTCAGCCTCCCAAAGTGCTGGGATTACAGGCCTGAGCCACTGCCCCCGGCCCTGCCTCCTAATTTCTAAGATGGCTGCAAAATGAAAGACTCCTTTTTAAAAATGCAATCCTTGCCCCGAACCAGCTCAGCAAATATTGGACTAACATAGACCAAGGGAAAGCTGTAGAAGCCTGTTCTTTAGAACCTACATCATCTAAAGTTTGAGCTTTTGCTGATTCTGATTGTTTGCCTTTGTAAGGCTGGTAAGACCCTACAATGGCTGAATTTTTCTTGTTGAGACTCCTAAGACCTCCTAGAACTTGCAAAGGCTCAGCATAGTTGTGTAAGGCTAGCTAATTCATTCAAACCATCCAGTAATCAGCAGGCAAAGTCAGTTTCAACATGGAAACAGATCACAGAACTCCTAGTACTGAAAGTGACATTTTTAGAACACATTAGTCAGTACTAAATTACAATACTCCAGGAAAGGAGTTTTTCCATGAAAATATCATAGGTGACCTAGAACTTAAAATCTTCTTGGGTATGGAGTTATTAGTTAACTTCAAAAACCATCCACATAGAACAATCTAAACTGTTGCAAACCACCAAGTTTCAACTAGAATTTTGGTGGCATTGCATTTCCCAATTTCCACTTCTTTACCAAATCTGTTTTTAACCCAATGTTTCATTTTTCTGAAGTAAAATTACCTCTATGTACCGAACCAGTATAGTTTGCAGGGACAGGCCTAAACCTTTAGAATATGAAGCACAAATGAAGAACGCGCAATGTGTGCTGTTTTATCTCTGTTGCTTGCTTGTTTTCTTTTCTTTTCTTTTTTTTTTTTTTTTTTCTAGATGGAGTCTTGCTTTGTCACCAGGCTGGAGTGCAGTGGTGTGATCTCGGCTCACTGAAACCTCCACCTCCCGGATTCAAATGATTCCCCTGCCTCAGCCCTCCCAAGTAGCTGGAACTACAGGCATGTGCCACCACACCCAGCTAATTTTTTTTGTATATTAGTAGAGACCCGGTTTCATCATGTTGGCCAGGATGGTCTCGATCTCTTGACCTCATGATCCACCCGCCTCAGCCTCCCGAAGTGCTGGGATTACAAGTGTGAGCCACCATGCCCTGCCATCTCTGTTGCTTTCTAAGAGGGGGAAGCAGAAGCAACTGAGATAGACATGCCCATTTTCCTCTCCTAAACTCACCTCTTCCCCTTGAAAGGAGCGAGGAAGTAAGGATTGACCACACATTTAACCATATAATGGAGCTTCCTCCACAAGGAAGGGCCCATTAGAAGTAGGGAAAAAGTTTGCTCTCAGCATTATGATTCCTTCCTGTCCAAAAAAATTTATGATAACAAGCTGAAGGACAACTTGGAAGTTTCCTGGGAATTTTGCTTCAAATGATTACTGATTTAATTCCCAGGTTGAATTATTTTTTTCCTAAAGGTTTTGTCCAAAAAGGAAAAAAAATAAGTTAATAAATCTGATACCAGATCACATCTAGAACATGGTTCTTTGAAAATTATAGGCCTGCTTTTGTACCAAGATGAAAGAGGCCTCTCCAGGGATTGGGAATCTCTGTTTAGATGTGGCTATAGGTGGGCTGAACAAGAAGAAATAGAGTTCCCAGGCTATGGTTTATAGGTGAGGAAATAAGAGTATGAAATCTCTAGAAAAACTTACATGATTTTTTAAACATATAGTAATCAGAGAGTTTGTCTACAGTCAGGCTTCATTTTCATACCTCAGAGAAAAGGGATGGTTTTTAGCCCAGTTGCCTCCCACTTCTTACTGGTCCACCAAGTTTGAGAGACCTTACTGTCTATCCTTTGTAGGTGCCAAGGAGCACACAGCTTTTCTATGTTTTCTTTTAAATTTATCTCTTGTATCAATATAAGCCTGAATTTTGTTGGAGTTTTATTTTTTAATCCATTTGAATAGGAAAAGAAAAATGGTGATTAAGAGTACTCAAAAAACTGAGAAGGAAAGATTAGGTATAAAGTTTAGGTTATGAACTTCCATTAAGTGGAACTGATGGAAAAGAAAGTTTGAATACAAAGATATGGGCAAAGATATTTCAGGCAAATATAAACAAAATGAAAGCAAAAGTGGCTCTATTAATATAAGACAGAACAGACTCCAAGGACAAGGTCATTAAACAGGACAAAGATTTTTACTATAAAATAATAAAAGGTGAAAGCTGAGAATAATCTATAGCCATAAAGCTTTATGCACCAAACAATGTACCAGACAAATCTATAAATGCCTAAGAACACACAGAAGCATGTATAAAAAATGTAATTTATAGTAGTTGATAATATAATACCTTGTGCAGAATTTGACTTATCAAGTTGACAGGGAGAGTTAGGTAAATAATATACTCAATAATTTTATTTTAATAGATATACATAGATACATATATATTTCAGAAAGAGAATTTTATTGTGTTCTTAGAATACTTAAAAGTTGATTAACATGTATTTGCAAGAAAAAAACTTATGAATCATAGGAGATACTTTTTGAAAATCTGTGGAGCACATTTTAAATAAAATGAGTGTTTCTTGGTAGAATAAACCAAAATTGCTGTGAGTAATGGAAGAAAAAGTGAGAGAATAATAACCACAACGGGGTTGAAAAATAAAGATAAACATGGTCTTAAAGGTAAATTATGTTCAAATTTTAAAAACAACATTCCCTATGTTGTTTAGTCTAAGTTGTAGAAAAATATGGAAAATGCCTTAATTATAATTAGGATTCCTAGAAAACCTTAATGCCAAAGTCTGATAGATATTGTGGAAATCTCTTAATGGAGATAGAACAAATACACTTTATAAAATAATAGCAAAGCAAGTCCAGAAGTGTATTAAAAATACTACTTCACAATGACCAAGTATGAAACTGCATATGGTTACCACTACAGAGAATACCAGAATAATTGATGACATCAATGTGACAAAGAAGTAAAGAATATGTTTGCATCAATAGATGCTGAGATGACATTGATGAAATTCAACAACCATTTCTAATTGAAGCTCTACTTTAAATATGAATAGAAGAAAACTACTTTAAATAATAAATCTTTCTCAAACAAAAATCAAGAGTAAATATATAAATTGTGAAATGTTAAAACTACTATTAAAATTAGGGTTATAACAGTGATACTTTTATGACTAATATTATCACTATTGTAGAAGTTATATTTAAGAAAAAATGTAAAAATTTAATACATGGTATAAATATTGGAAAAGTATGATTTTTCCAATCTGATTTTTAGCTCTACATTATACAATTATCATCTGATTCCATTAAAAGAGACTCTAGTAAAATATTTTAGAATTAAAAAAATTACAATGTTTCTTTTATAAAAATTATATACACAAAGATGAGCAGCTATCTTCTTTTTTTTTTTTTTTTTTGAGATGGAGCCTTGCTCTGTTGCTCAGGCTGGAGTGCAGTGGCGCAATCTCGGCTCACTGCAGCCTCTTTCCCCCGGGGTTCCAGCGATTCTCCTGCCTCAGCCTCCTGGGTAGCTGGGATTACAGGTACATGCCACCACACTCGGGTAATTTTTCTATTTTTAGTAGAGATAGGGTTTTGCCATGTTGGCCAGGCTGGTCTTGAACTCCTGACCTCAGATGATATGCCCACCTCGGCCTCCCTAAATTAATCACTTAGAGAAGATATCCATTCATAATAGTTTTAAAAAATATTTGGGTTAAATTAACTAAAACAGTGTAGACATTATAAATTTCTGTAGCAGGAAATAAAATTTCCACAATAGAGAGATATAACCTATTTCTAGAATGGCAATTTCTTAAAATCGTCAAGCCTTTATAAATTGATATATAGTTAATATAGCCAATGGGTATCCTCATGATGTATTTTAGATTTGAACTTCTAAGTTGCTGTAAAAACCAATAATAATTTGAAAAAGTATAGTGAGGACAATTTACAAAATATTATAATTTACTATACAACTACAGGCATACCTTAGAGATATTGGGGTTTCAGTTCCACCACAATAAAGTGAATATTGCAATAAAGTAATTCACACAAATTTTTGGTGTCTCATGCATATAAAAGTTATATTTATACCCTAGTATAGTATGCTAAGTGCAATAGCACTATGTCTAAAAAATTATATATACCTTAATTAAAAACACTTTATTGCTAAAAAGTGCTAGTGGTCATCTGAGCCTTCAGCAAGTTGTACTCTTTTTCTGATGGAGGGCTTTTCTGCATATTGATGGTTGCTGACTGATCGGGATGGTGGTTGCTGAAGATTGGAGTGGTTTTGGTAATTTCTTAACATGAAATGACAATAAAGTTCATTATATCAATTGACTCTTCCTTTCATGAAAGATGCCTGTGTGGCATTCCATGCTGTTTGATAGTATTTTACCCAGAGTAGGATTTTTTCCAAATTAGAGATAATCCTCTCAAAGACTACCACTGTTTTATCAACTAAGTTTTTATAATATTCCAAATCCTTTGTTGTCATTTCAATGATGTAACGGCATCTTCACCAGGAGTAGTTTCCATTTCAAGAAATTGTTCTCTTTGCTCATCCATAAGAAACACTTCCTCATCCCTTCAGGTTTGATCATGATATTACAGCAACTCAATCCCATTTCAGACTTCACTTCTAATTCTAGTTCTTTTGCTATTTCTACCACATCTGCAGTTACTTTCTCTACTGAAGCCTTGACCTCCTCAAAGTCATCCAAGTGGGTTGGAATCAACTTCTTTCAAACTCCTATTAATGTTGATATTTTGACATCCTCCCATGAATGACAAATGTTCTTACTGTCATCTAGAATGATGAATCCTTTTCAGAAGGTTTTTAATTTACTTTGCCCAGATCCATCAGAGGAATCACTATCTGGGGCAAGTAAAGCCTTACAAAATGTAATTCTTAAATAGTAAGACTTGAAATTTGAAATTGCTCTTTGATCCATGGGCTGCAGAATATCCATTTCGATTTTCAAGTATTATCAAGAATTACATTTTGTAAGGCTATACTTGGCATAGGATACAGTCCATGAAAACAATATTAATCTCTTTGTACTTCACCATCAAAGTTCTTGGCTGACAAGGTGTACTGTTAATGACCAGTAATATTTTGAAAGAAATCTTTCTTTCTAATCAGTAGGTCTCAACACTGGGCTTAAAATATTCAGTAAACCATGCTGTAAACAGATGTACTGTCATCTAGGCTTTGTTGTTCCATTTACAGAGCACAGACACAGTAGATTTAGCATAATTCTTAAGGTCCCTAGGATTTTAAAAACGATAAATGAGCACAGGCTTAAACCTAAAGTCACTAGGTGTATGACTCCCTGACAAGACAGTCAGCATGTCTCTTAAAACTTTGAAGGATATGACTTCTCCTCTCTAGCTATGAAAGCCCTAGATCATGTCTTCTTCTAATAGAAGTCTGTTTTGTCTACACTGAAAACTGTTGTTTAGTGTAGTCACCTTCATCAGTGATCTTAGCTAGATCTTCTGGATAAATCGCTGTAGCTTCTTTATCAGCACTTGCTGCTTCACTTTGCACTTTTATGTTATAGAAAAGGCTTCTTTCCCTAAACTTCATGAACCAACTTCTGCTGGTTCCCAACTTTTATTCTGCAGCTTCCTCACCTCTCTTAGCTTTCAGACAACTTAAGAGAGTTAAGGCCTTGGTCTGGATTAGGCTTTGGCTTAAGGGAAGGTTGTAGTTGGTTTGATCTTCTCATCAGACCACTAAAATTTTCTCCATATCAGTCATGAGGCTGTTTCACTTTCTTATTAGTCCTGTGTTCACTAGAGTAGCACACTTAATTTCTTTCCAGAACTTTTCCTTTGAATTCACAGTTTGGCTGTTTGGCACAAGAGGCCTAGCTTTCAGACTATCTTGGCTTTTGACATGCCTTCCTCATTAAGCTTAATCATTTCTGGTTTTTGACTTAAAGTGAGAGACATGTGACTCTTCCTTTCACTTGAACACTTAAGTACATTGTTTGGTTATTAACTGGCCTAATTTGAATATTGTTGTGTTTCAGACAATAGACATAGGGAAGCTTGAAGACAGGGAGAGACGGGGGAATGGCCAGTCAGTGGAACAGTCAGAACACACAACATTTATTGATTAAGTTCACTGTCTTATATGGGCACAGTTTGTGGTACCCCAAAACAATTACAATAGTAATATTAAAGATCACTGATCATGGATTACCATAACAAATACATAAATTATTAAAAAGTGTGAAATATTGGGAGTTTATCAAAATGTGACAAAGAGACATGAAGTGAGCACAAGCTGTGGGAAAATGGTACAGTGCTAATGGACTTGCTGAGCACAGGATTGCCACAAACTTTCAATTTGTAACAAATGCAATATCTGCTATGTGCAATAAAGTGAGGCCCAATAAAGTGAGTATACCTGTTCTTTATTCCAAATATCATGTTAGAACAAAATAACTTCTATCAGTAGACCCAACACTTAAGGAACTTTGGGAGTCATTTTGATTTGGCAGTAGTAAATAATTTCTAGTTAAGACAGTGTCAGATTTTGTGTCCTCAACAAAGACAAAGCAAGAATGCATAAAATATAAGTAGGGAAAACTAAGAGGACATGTTTTAGGCTTAAAACTAAACAAATACCTCTATTAGAAATTAAAGAGAAAATAATGTGGAAATAGGATGAAACTGTAGGACTCTTTGGCTGGGTCAGAAGCAAGCAAAGGTGGCTGAGTCTTCTGCTCCTGCACAGTGATGGAGACAAAATGCCCCACTAAGCAAGAGGCTGCAGTTAGGATCCCTACTTGAACATATATGTGAAACATAGTCTGAAAAAGCTGGAGCTAAACTTTGTGTGAACTTACGTGCTAGAGGGAACACACATACACATCTCGTAGTGTAGATGGAGTGTGATGCAAGCTGAGACAATGAGTGGATCTCTGGTCTCTCCAATGTTAATACAGGAAGAAGCTAATGAATTGGGGGCCCCAGGGGACTGGGGCTAAACCAACTTAGTCACATAAACTTCTGTTGACTAAATAAAATAAAATTAAGCTTTAAAAAATTAAGGTTAGTTTTATTCAGAAGTCTTTCTGAGGATTACAGACTGAGGCCTGTAGCCTGGGAGCAGTTCTATCAGACTGCTCCAAGACAGTCTTTTAAATCACAGTTTATATACTGGTGGTGAAGATTCAGTATGTGCAAAAGCATATCAAAGTTTGGGTATAAGAGTACATCTGGTTATAGATTATGAAAGAACATTCAATTATAGATTGGAGAAGCATAATCACTATTGCTGTCAGACATTATCTTATGTGTAAGAAGAGGCCAGGCCAAGGTCATTTGTCTTTTAAGGAATGCAGTGACTCAGATCAGAGATGAGATGCAGGGGGCCGAGTGCTCTATCCTGTTTTATCTGCAAAGAATTCTTCAGAAGAACTGCGTTTTATCACAGAGTCAGCAGTTCAAGCAGAAATGAACAAATATGCTTATGCCTTTTACTTTTTTCACACTTCCAAAGTATATGAATAAAATAAGAAACATTTTGAAATACGTATTTTTTATGTGGTGAAAGAAAATACCACTAATAGAGAAAGAAAAAATATTGCTAAATCAATTGACAACCAACCAAAAAGCCCTAAAAAGAAATAATTATTGTTAGATATGAAATAATTTATTTTAAGAAGTTCTGAAATTTAAAAATAGAGTTTTTGAAGGAAAAAATCTTTACTAGATGAATTATGACTAAGTTTGGACATAGTTGTCAAGAAGATTATTTACTAGAACTACCATATGACCCAGCAATCCCTCTCCTGGGTACATACCCACAGAAAATGTAATAAGTACCTTGAGATATCTGCACTCCCATTTTCATTGCAACACTAGTCACAATAGCCAAGACATGAAATCAACCTAGGTGTTTATCGACAGATAAATGGACAAAGAAATTGTGAAATAATATTCCACCAATGGAATATTATTCAATATTACAAAATAATATACTACCATTTGCAAAAATATAGATGCATGGAGAGGACATTATGCTAAATGAAATAAGCAAGACAAAGAAAAAATCATCTCACTTATATGTATAATCTAAAAACAAAAAAGTCGACTATATATAAATGGAGAGTAGAGAGGAATTTACCATAAATCAGGCAGTGGAAATGGAAAGATACGGGTCAAAGGGTACAAATGTACAGTTACATAAGATAAATAAGTCTAGAGATCTAATGTATAGCAGGAGGACTATAATTGATAATGTATTAAATATTGAGAATTTTCTTAGTGAATAGATTTTAGGTGCTCTTACCTAAAATGTATGAATTTCATAGTAACCTTATGAAAGGTAACTATGGAAGGTAATAGATACGTTAAATTTTTTTACCTATAGTAATTACTTCACTATGATGTTTATATCAAAACATCAAGTTGTATATCTTAAATTTATACAACAAAAAATCCAAAAAAGGATTAATAAATGTCCTGGTGTAATTGGCTTGCCTGATGGAAGAAAAAAAACACAGACACATTCTTTCTACCGAGCATAGATTTCAAATGCATCAAAGTTTGAAAATTTAGATGAAAACATATAAGAAATTATGAAAAATATTTAGAAAAAAATTTAAGATGCTTTGTATAGTCCTCTGGTATGTTCAGCTTTTAAGCAAGGTTGAAAACACATAGGGTGTAAGCAAATATATATATATATATACACATTAAATGAAATAATACCATACCAAGAGCTACATAAAGTCAAAATAAAAATAAACTATTTGCAACATTCGTATACAAATAGATTCTATAAGCTGACAAATATAAGGCAAATGAAATAGAGAAGCGGGCAAAAAATGTTAACAAATAAGTACAAACTAGATGGCCATTAAAAATATTTCCTGACTGGCAGTCAGGAAAATGCAAGTTATGACTACAATGAGAACATTTTTTTTTCATGTACAAAATTGGTGAATATGAGAAATTTGATATTCAATATTGGAGAGTATGATGAATATAAGTAATATCATAGATTACTGGTGAAAACATGAATGGCTACAACAGAAACAGAACAGGAATACTATATTATATATATATATATATATATATATATATATATATATATATATATATATAAAATTTTAAATATACTTTAACCAAAAAATCCCATGTTTTTGTTATCTGTTCTATAGAAATAAACATACCAGTACAAAAGGATTGAGCAGTACTTATAGTGAAAACATGAAAATATTTTAGAGTAACTAGGAAAACACTGGGAAAATATGCTGTATTAGTCCATTCTCATGCTGCTAATAAAGACATACCTGAGACTGGGTAATTTATAAAGGAAAGAGGTCTAATTGACTCACAGTTCAGCGTGGCTAGGGAGGCCTCAGGAAACTTACAATCATGGCAGAAGGGGAAGCAAACATGTTCTTCATTACATGGAGGCAGCAAGGAGAAGGGGGGAAAGCCCCTTATAAAAACCATCAGATCTCGTGAGAATTCACTCACTATCACAAGAACAGCATGAAAGTACCTGCCCCCATGATTAAATTACCTCCCACCAGGTCCCTTCCAGGACATGTGGGGTTATGGGAACTATAATTCAAGATGAGATTTGGGTGGGGACAGAGCCAAACCATATCATTCCACCCCTGACCCCTCCCAAATCTCATGTCCTCACATTTCAAAACACAGTCATGCCCTTCCAACAGTCCCCAAAGTTTTAACTCATTCCAGCATTAACTCAAAAGTCCAAGTCCAAAGTCCCATCTGAGACAAGACAAGTCTCTTCCACCTATGAGCCTGTAAAATCAAAAGCAAGTTAGTTACTTCCTAAATATAATGGGGTAAAGGCACTGCATAAATACAGCCATTCCAAATTAAAGAAATTGGCCGAAACAAAGGGGCTACAGGCCCCATGCAAGTGCAAAATCCAATAGGAAGTCATTAAACCTTAAAATTCCAAAATGATATTCTTTGACTCCATGTCTCACATACAGGGTACACTGCTACAAGAGGTGGGCTCCCATGGACTTGGGCAGATCCACTCCTGTGGCTTTGCAGGGTACAGCTCTCCTCATGACTGCTTTCATGGGCTGGCATTGAGTGTCTGAGGCTTTTCCACACACACAGTACAAGCTGTCAGTGGAGCTACCATTCTGTAGTCTGGAGGAAGGTGGTCCTCTTCTCACAGCTATACCAGGCAGTGCCCCAGTGGGGACTCTGTATGGGTGCTCTGACCCCACATTTCCCTTCTGAACTGCCCTAGCAGAGGTTCTCCATGAGGGCTTCTCCCCTGCAGCAAACTTTGCGTGGGCATCCCGGCATTTTCATATATCCTCTGAAATCTAGTCAGAAGTTCCCAAACCTCAGTTCTTCTGTGTAGCCACAGTCTCAACAACATGTGTAAGCTGCCAAGGATTGGGGCTTGCACCCTCTGAAGCAGTGGCCTGAGCTGTATGTTGGCCCCTTTTAGCTGCAGTTGGAGCTGAAACAGCTGGGACACAGGGCACCACGTTTCAAGGCTACATAGAGCAGGGGGGCCCTGGGCCTGGCTAACGAAATCATTTTCTTCCTCCTAGGTCTCCAGACCTGTGATGGGAAGGGCTGCTGTGAAGGTCTCTGACATGCCCTGGAGACATTTTCCCCCATTGTCTTGGTGATTAACATTTGGCTCCTTGTTACTTATGCAAATTTCTGCAGCTGGCTTGAATTTCTCCTGAGAAAATAGGGTTTTCTTTTCTATTGCATTATAAATTTGCCAAACTTTTATCCTCTGCTTCCTCTTGACTGCTTTGTCGCTTAGAAATTTCTTCCACCAGATAAGCTAACTCATCTCTCTCAAATTCAAAGTTCCACAGATCTCTAGGGTAGGGGCAAAATGCTGCCAGTCTCTTTGCATAGCAAGAGTGACCTTTACTTCAGTTCCCACCAAGTTCCTCATCTCCATCTGAGACCATGTCAAACTGGACTTTATTGTCCATATCATTATCATTTGGCAGTTTGGTCAAAGCCATTCAACAAGCCTCTAGGAAGTTCCAAAGTTTCCCACATCCTCCTGTCTTCTGAGCCCTCCAAGTCTCTAGGAAGTTCCAAAGTTTCCCACACCCTCCTGTCTTCTGAGCCCTCCAAGTCTCTAGGAAGTTCCAAACTTTCCCACATTTTCTTGTCTTCTTCTGAGCCCTCCAAATTTTTCCAACCTCTGCTTGTTACCCAGTTCCAAAGTCGCTTCCAAATTCTCAGGTATCTTTACAGCACCCACTCTCAGTACCAATTTACTGTATTGGTCTGTTCTCATGTTGCTAATAAGACATACCTGAGACTTGGTAATTTATAAAGAGATTGTATTGACTCACAGTTCAGCGTGATGGGGCAGGCCTCAGGAAACTTACAATCGTGGCAGAAGGGGAAGCAAACATATCCTTCTACACACAGCAGCAGCAAGGAGAAGTGCCAAGCCAAAGAAGGAAAAGCCCCTTATAAATCCATCAGATATCATGAGAACTCACTCACTAGCATGAGAACAGCAAGAGGGTGACTGCCCTCATGATTAAATTACCTTCCACTGTGTCCCTCCCATAACATGTGAGGGTTACGGGAACTACATTCAAGATGAGATTTGGTTGGGGACAAACCCAAGCCATATCATATGCCTACTAAGGCAGCAGAACTGGCTGGTTACTGTTAAGTTGTGCTTATGCTCTGCAAGGATAATGAGAGATGAGAGTTGTTAACAGCGAGTTTGATAAACACAAAGCCCAAGTTATGGCTTATAAAGAGGACCTCATTGCCTGTAGTAGAAGGACAGACATAATTGGAAAAGTAGCCTGAAGGTCTAATTTTTGAGAGTTGCCGAGCTCGATAGATAGTTGAACTCCCAACCAAGGTGCGTTATGCTGAGGTCAGGATGCTGATCAGGAAAACCTGGAATCCTGAAAACATGAGTGGAGACATCTGGAAGGATGCCTCTGAGGATGTGGATTCTGCATTGCCTCCAATCCCTAGGCCTGCAGAAGTGGTCTGCCTCTTCCTAATAAGAGCTGGTAAGTACACTGCAATGGAGGATGCTGCAGAAGCCTCTCCCCCACAAGGCAATAGGGGCTCCCGTCGGATACTTCCCACCTCCTCCAACCTAGGTATTGGGTTGATAAATAGGACGAAATCCCAGCATAGCCCAACTGGTGGCATGCTGGCATGATAAAGGAGAAAAGACTATACAACTAAGAAATTACAAGAACTAGCTGGCATGTGCCAGCAGGAGCCGCAGAAGTTCTCTGAAATTGGATGATGAAGGTGCTTGATCAAGGAACTAGAATGTCAGGCTGAAAAGCAGACGTTCATTTGACATGGGAACACTTTCTTGAGAAGAGATTTAACACCCTAGCAAGGACCCTGGGGGATGAGTTAAACTCACTGCCCACTGCTGTGTGGCTCTTAGAAGTCTGGAATAAACACTGACCATGTCTCAGTGACATAAAAATGCCTGTGTCCCCTTGCAGAGCTTAAAAAAGGAACACAAAAATGGAGAAAAGTAAATGATGAGGCTTGCTTACTAGGTCAAGCCAGATATATTAGGTGAAGCCAGAAAATCCACCAGAGGAGTATGCTCCATGTGAGGGGCCCAGAGACTATATTTTCCAAGGCCATCAGGAATGTGTTGCTAAGAGGGATACCAACATCAGTAAGAAGTGCAATGGCAGCTCTTCTGTGCAGGCCAGGCATGCAGGTGGGAGAGACGCTTATATAACTGAGCTCATTAACATCCTTTGGGATGAAGGACCCCAAAGTACTAGAGGTCAAACAGCAGTGCTTAATCACCAGAAGCCAGGAGCCCACAGTGTTCATAAAATAGGTAAGGTAGGAGGAGAATCCAAAAGGACTTGACCAGCAGGGAATTGTAGAGATGGATAATAGACCATAGTGTCTTTAGAGGAAAAATAAATGGACCAACCAATAATGGTTAAATTGCTGCTTTAAATCAGACATTTTGAGGAGCATTGGAAACAGGATTTGGGTCAACGTTGATATTTAAAGACACAAGACTTCATCATCGTCTCCTTGTTACAGTGGAAATCTATAAAGGCCAATTAACAAGGGGGTCCTAGTTACAGTCTGACTCCCAGTGGACTTGCCTGCCCCAGACAATGGATGATCAGTTTCCCAATCATTGGGTGCATAAACGGCAGTTAGAATTAACTTCCACATTGAGTTCTTGGTCTATAGAATAAGAGCTAACATACTGGTGAAGGCCAAACGAAAACTTCTGAAACTGCCCCCTCCTCTTGACCTTCCTCCCAAATATATCCAAACCAATATCATCTCACTGGGGGAAAGTACAGATTAGTGCCACCATGAGAGACATAACATATTTAAGCATTGTTGTCCCTATCATATCTCTACTTAATTCTGGCTCCTGCGGAAATCAGAGGGAACTTAGAGAATGATGACAGGTGTAGCCAGGCAGCAGCCCCAGTCATAGCTACAGTGCTAAATGTGGTATCTTTGTTAGAATGTATTAATAAGTTGCCAGGTACATAGTATAAAGTCATTCCACTGTATTCCAATTAGAAAGGAAGATCAGAAATATTTGCATTCACATGAGCAGCAAAATTATTATTTAAATTTTTGGTGTGCAGTTGTGATAAATTGCCCTCTGCCATTGTATATTACACAGAGATCTGGAACACCAGGACACCCCATAGAACAATACACAATTCGTTACAGTGACAACATCAAGTTGACAAGGCAAGTAAGAGGTACTTAGTGTACTGGAAAGTTTTCTAAGATACAGTCTCCTATGAATCTGAAGTGAGGCCATGCCATCAGCAACAGAGAATTCCACACCCTTTTGAGAAACAGAAACTTTTCACTGGATTCTGATATTGATGAAATTCTTGATTACAGGGCACAAAATTATCCCGCACCTAGAACCACCCATTTTAGATTGAATTCTGTCAACCAAGCCAAGCCATAATTGGACTGGCTCTATTTCCTTTCACACAGGCATTTTCTTAATAAAATCCTTGCACATTTTATCTTATATTGGTATTTGCCTCTCAGAGGACAGGCACTAACATGCCTGCCTTTTATTCATTCCTTTTTCCTAATGTTCCTTGAGAAATTATCAGCTACAAGAAAATGCAGCTCTCTGGAACATAAACACCATGAGGAGAGGAATTTGTGTCTGTTTGTTTACCTGTTCCTGGCACTGTGCCTGACCCACCTCAGCATTCAACAGATAGATGTTCAGGGAATAAAGGTGCCCTCTGGGGCAATAAAATAAAAATAAGTGTCTGAAACTTAAATACATTCTCTGGCTGAGCAGTAGATGTTTGAAATGTGCAACACGCTATCTCTGAGTAGTATAAGGTAAAAAGTGATTCCTCATGGTAAGAAACTACAAGATGATGAAATTCCCACAGTGAATAACAGGAGCAACTGATAACAAATAGGACACAATTAACCAGCATTTACTGAAAATCTTACAGCCGAGGTCTGACAAAAGACACTATATGTGCCTTAGCTCAAAAAGTTTAGATAACAAACCTGCACAGGTACCTGCTGAATCTGTAATTTAAAAAAGGTTTAGATAAGAAGACAAAACATATGATATGCCTAAGAAATAGCATGAGAATAACTGAAGTGTTTCACAGTTAAACACAAGGTGAAACAACATAAGTTCAAAATTGATGTGCCAGAGTCATCTAATACATGTGATGGTTAGAGAATTGAATCCCTAAAGACTTGGAAAAGAAAACCCTGTGCTGTATGTATTCATAGAAGCTAGAGTCTCGGGGCTATAGGGGTCAGTGTTCAAGTTTTAAAACATTATTTTTTATTAAGCTGTGGAGGTCATTAATGCAAAATAGGAATTTTAGAGGCATCTAAAGAATTAAAGCATTTATTTTAGCGCCTTTATGTATAAAAATGCTTTAGTTTCGCTCTCAGAAATTGAGCACACAATGTCCAGTGGCTTCTCTGCAGGTCAACTCATGGTAGTTTGGGAACCACTCTACGAAGTATAAGCTTCTTTAAAAATGCTTATGAATGTCTTGTGAAAGACTTGATGCACAGACAGTGCAATTCCGGCTAAAATTTCCCCTGAAAGTCAGAGATGACTCATTTTCATTGTCCATTTGCTAACAATAACACTTTAGTAAAAAAAAAAAAAAAAAAATCTTTAAAGGTAGGATGAAGAGATGAAGATAAAAGTAAAGAATAAGATGAATCTTAAAAAAAGCTCTGTAAAGAAATTCACCTGACATAATATTTGAGCCTTTTTCAATAAGTGGAGTTTCGCCTTTCTTATATGAATTACACTCAGGGAGAGAAAAGGAGTGAAAAGATGCCTGCAAGATGTTTCATTCAAATATGAGAGAATACAACAAAAGTCCATTAATACGACTATCAAGAGAGGAATAATAGAGCTAAAAAGTGCTTACGGATCCAGAACAGCAAAAGAAGATACAGGTCTCACAAATACCTCTAACATAAGTTATAAAAAATAAAACATCTTTTTGTGCTTTAAAATCTGTGACAAATGCTGATTAAATTCACCCTGAGAGCATGTCAATTTGAAAAGGGGATTATAAATGTACATGCCGCCAGGTGCTCTCCTTTCTAAGGGGGGCAGTGAGTGTATCCATTTAAATCATTCAAATATGTATGGTGTCAGCACTGGCACATTTAGAATGAGAGCAAAACTGGATGAAAATTGGAATAACATTGGCCTTCTGGAGGGTTAGGGAGGCTTTCCTGCAGCAGGTTGGCAATTTGTCACATCAGCCCCTTCATGAACTATCAACCTCATTACCGCGGTTCACTGTACAGTTGCCCCTTGGGAATCTAATACTAATAGCATGTAGAGGGTGATGAGGCCTGTGGTCTCAACTACTTCATTATTGATTCACTTAAAAATATTCCACCTACATATTTGAATAAAATAGGTGATACATTAGAAGGGGAAAAACACCAAAAACATCTACAATCAATTGAAGTAGGGGTAAAAAACAAGAAAGGGATCCAGGCAGTAATAGCACCACAAAAGCAAGTCTTGGAAAGGTAGAGGGTGAATAATTTTGTGTGACAGCTACCATTTATTTATTCTGTTGTGTGAGACCGTGCATCAACCTTTAACAGCTATAACTGTACATTTAGTAGGGCTACTAAGTGAAATAGGTCTTGGATATATTTTTAAGACCCTGCAAAGACGTATAGAGCCAGGATGTTTGAAGGACATATATTTAACCAGCAAAATACACATTGAGAGTCTTTTCAATGCCTTTAGCCAGAAAAGAGGATAATGGTTCATTTCTAATGTTCCAAGCTGATGAGAAATGTATGCATATATATTAACACATAATTTTCTCCAATATATATAGATACATATAAATATATAAAACAAACATTTAACAGAGATCCATCTCTGGAGAACCAGAACTCACCTGTGAGAAAGTATCTGGTTACTTGAAGATTCTCTCCTCATTTAGCAGCAATGGATTTTTACTATATCGATTGTTTTAAGCACTGAAACAACATATGTATGCACGTGTGTGTGTGTGTGTGTGTGTCTGTATGAATGCTGATTCCTCTGTGTTTTATATTTATTGATTCATTAATAATGCAAAAAATACAGAAGCAGCAACACTTAATTGTTGAAAGGTTAATATACACTGAGATATTTCAACTATAAGTACTTTCAGACTATAGATTGTATTGTCTGATAACAGTAGTCACTAGCTTCATTGGTTATTTATAAGTTAATTAACATTAAATAAAATTTAAAAATCAGTTCACCGGCCACACCAGCCACATTTCAAATGATGAGTATGGGTGACTCATGGCTACTGTAATGAACAGAACAGGTATACTACATTTCAACAAGCAGAAATTTATATTAGATAGTGATGATTTAGAGTTTAACTTCTATTTGCTTTCCATAAAGCTTCAAATAATACATCTGAAAAGAAATTTAAAGTTGATTAAAATATGTAGCAAATTTGAATTTTCATAAAGTTACACTTTTTTTCTGGCATCAGTCACTCACTATATTTTTGACACTATCGTCTAAAAATATTTTGCATTTAACACATATATTTAAATTACTCTGGTGAACATTTGTAAAATGACTAAAATATGGTTCTCAGATTTAATCATGCAAATGCCCTTTTTCACATGGAAATGTGGATTGAGGCAGCTAAAAATTTTAGTAGAAGTATGGAACCTTTAGTTGTAATCATAATTACAAATAGTTTTGTTGCCAGTCATCACGCATCTGATTATTTAAATAAGATGGGATGGACTTTCTGACTGAAAAGTGCCAGCTGCTGAAAAAGCATTAGACTTTCAATAATTTAAGGTATACACAAAATGTCTGAAAATGGTTAAAAACAGAACCATCTTAAATTTAGAAAGTCAATTAAAATGTGTTTTAGAATAAAGCTTTATAACACATCCCTGTTTCTAAGGTCATTTCTATGGATGAACAAACTCATGAGAAGGCGTGAATGAGGCCCCCACAGCAGGATATAAAGCTAATCTTTTCTGATATTCTTAAAGATTTCTATAACTTTTATTTTCTGTAGTCTTTTTGTTGGGTGCAGTGTGTGCATGCATGCATACACGTGCATTTTAAGATAAGGCAAACCCATACTTCAGGCATAAAAGAAATGGAAGGTTTGAAACAGTGTCAAAGTGGTTCAGCATAGCTGGAGGCTACCTGAAATCTTAGGAGGATTTGGATAAAAATATTTCCAGCTCAGTTTGATAGAATTCTGAAGACAGAAATTGCATCAGAACTTTTGAACCCAAGGCTTTGTTCCCACTGACTGCCCTCTTTGGGGCTGCAATGGGCAAAAGTAAAAGTATTTAGCACATCCAAAGTAGCTCACTTCCGTATGTCACATATTTTTCTCAGCCTTCATTATTGCTGCTTATGATTTCTTCAAGTCTCTTTTGCTTGATAATTGTTTAGGATGAAATCTCTTCATTCCCCTTTCTAACCTCACTGTTGAAAGATATCTAGAAGGCCCACTGGATGTGGGTTATTATTTCATAGTCTTCTGTCTCCTCTGTTGTTCCCCACTACTTATAAAGTAAAATAATTGAATGAAATTCTTTAGGTTAGCATTCATTATTTTCCTAGTCTTTGCCCAACATCATGATTCTTCTTTATAAACCCTCTGCTTCAGTTAGATGGTCTAACTATTGTTTCTCCCAAGTCCTGGCCTCTTCACACCACTATCTTATTAGAGAGAAGCTGTCTAAATTGTTCTCCACTCTCAAAATACCACATCATCTTTAAAAACTCCATAAAACTGTCATGACCTATTAGCATCTACTTGACACTTCTTTCTAAGTTCTCAGAGGAATGTGTTATACAATGTTTAAGAAGAAGAGTCTAGATCAGGCTGCCTACACTCTAAACCGGCTAGGCTAGGGATTAAAGTGACCTAAGCAAGAACTTCAAGCTCATTTGGACCTCTGATTCATCATTTACATAATTGCAAATCCTACCTCAAAGGATAATTGTAAAGATTTAGTATTATAATAATCAATGTGAAAGCTCAGTGACCAGCACATTATAAGCACTCAATATTAACTCTTATTTTTGCTTGGTATCTTTATCATGCCTTCCCTGTGACAGCTCTTATTACCTAACCAACTGCAATGAAAACAGCAATTCCTGGTCTTAGTGGGTTTAGTTTTTCCTCACCAAAGCATCTAGTACAATATTCAGCACTCTTTAGCTGCTGATAGCTCAACCTTATTCAATGAATGTGATTCAGAATATATATTTAAAAACTTCTTTTTAAATGTGGAACTCTAAGACAATAAAATACCTGAGGAAAGTATAATTTACTTTCAAATAACAACAGAATACTTCCTGTACATGTGGCAACAAACCAGTGCCTGACAAATAGTTTAAAAACTATAAGAGTAATACAAGTAAACATTGGTGAAAAGTTAATTCCAAGAGTCATTCTCAACTTAGTAAGAAAAGTATAATGTTTATTTATGTTCTGGCAAATTAGATGTAATATGAAGAAGAGGCATTGGTATAATTTTTTAAAGATGACAGAATTCCAATTTTTTTTTTATAGACAGCATGATTTTCTACTTGGAATCTTCAGAGAATAAAGAGAGTTAATAAAGAGTTTAAGGGAGTGCCTATATATAACATAAATATGTCTAACTCAATAGTTTTCCTGTGTACCAGCAATGACCAATTATAAAATACAATGGGAGAAAAAAATAATGCATGTATTATGTATCAGAAGTTATTTCACTCTTCTGAAGTTATACTTTTATTTTCTATATTTATATTTTCTATATTATATTTTTATATTATATTGTATATTCTGGTTTTTCTATAAAATATCATGACTACATTTTATTTTATTAATATAAAATAATGGTGGTTTTTAAAAAATGGGAGAGTAAATGTTGATGATTCAATTTGACAGTAATAGCTGATTTTGAAACTTCCGTATTGTCTCCATGCTTAAAAGTGTGATTCTTCAACAAGTTTAGAGCAATCCAGTACATAATAGGATAGTCAGTTTTGCTTAAACTAATTAAAAATTCAGCTTTTATGCAATATATCCCTGCATACATTATGAAATCCCCATATTTTCAAATACCGTCACTTCCTTACATACATTTACTTTCTACAGCTGTTACATTATTAGTAATGAATTTCTTCCCCCCACAGAAACTAAACAAGCTTTTGGGCTGGTCATTCCCCTGTTATGGCCAGTCCCAGCTTCTAAACCCTTCCTGTGATGCTGAGGCTTCATCTCTACAATTTTCCTGGACTCCCTTCTCAGCTAAGGTCTCGTTAGGTACTGATAGTGGGAGAAATAGTCTGTACATTGAGGGCAGGAAGAAGGTAGAAGGTACTTTTTTCCTATTCCAGATCCTGCAGCAAAGAACAACTATGATTCAAATGCCAACTTTTTTGGCATTCCCAGCCACAATCCCTCAGACGTACAACGTTAGATAGCTGCATCCATCGTGGTGACCTAAGTATCAGTTCTACTACACCCCATCTGTTAAACTTATGTCTCAGAAAAATTACAATCTGCTTCAGTCCACAGACTTTTGTGATCACTTTGATAATCAAAATAGATCTATTGAAATGCCAAGCATCTTTTGTATTCCAATAGAGAATTATGAGTGCTATGTTTCTTTTCACTTTTATGAAATTAATGAGGGGCTACATATTCCTAATAGATTCTTATATTGTCAAATAGAAGTTATCCAACTAACAATCTGGAATATGTAGCCAGAAATAAATTTCTACCAAAGTTTTAAGATGTAAATGCTTTTGAACTACATCTGTAAAATTAGAAACAACAAATAATCATATCCATAATATTATTTTCATACTTCTAAGTATGAATAGACATATAAATTTTCACAGGCTTTTAGCTATATGTCAACTTTGTTTTTAAGAACTGACTTTACCTCTGCTTTGTATTTTGTATTTTGTCTAAGACTCAAGACCTCATCAATCTTTCTCTCTTTTGTCTTACTTCTTTTCTAATTTACCTCAAGCCTTATCCCCTCAACTATGTATTTTTATTCATAGAATTACCGATAATAATAAATGATTCAAAGTAACTTGAAGGATTTTTTATGTTTTGCTTTCCTTGCTTATATACAAAAGAAGAAATTGTTATTCCATCCATGAAAATAACTTTTACTAAAATAAAGCAATTAATGTAAGTAACAGGGGTTACATATTCAAACTAGCAGATAATATATATTTTGGCCTAAGGGTAAACTTTCTATTCACACTAAAATATAAATTTATTTGTTTTTATGCTGATTGCAATCTTTCCAAAATAAAAAAACAACACTGTGAAAAACAGTTTAGAAGGAACTGAAAACTTGTCTCTATCCTGCTTAATTTATTGCTATTTTTCCACTTCATAATGCAGGTGGAGAAATGATGTTGTATTCTTAACCTGGAGACCAATATTAACATTTGCATTTTTCCTATATTTCCTTGGGGAGTGGAGAATTTACTGATGAGCAAAGCAAAATTGTACTTGTAACTATAGAGATCCTCACTTAGATTAATCCTAATATAAATCTTTAAGGAAAAACAAAGATTTTTCTTTATCTTTGAGAGTTTGAGGCTTTGTTTTGAATTCTGCATTTAAAATGGATTGTCTATTTATATACAATCGAAAAATAACTGCAATGTTAATATCTTTTCCCTTCAGAGTGATCAAAGCCAATTGGTCTAAATGTATAATAACAAAAATCAGTTTTGATAGTGATAGATAGGATTGCCCTTACCACGTAGAAATGTAGAAGCATAATATGATTTTTGGAGGTCTCCAGTATGCGTTTTTTATCTGTTTTTCAATCTTATGGATGTTCCCAAATGAATAGTCTATTGTTTAGCTACACAAAGGGGACCATTCCATTCGACATACAAGGTGATCAGTCAGAGCCTCAAGTGGGAGAGTTCATTACCTGGAGCTTGGCATGAATAATGATGAATGCCATTAGTCATCATAGAAATTTCCAACAGCTTTCAAAATTCTAGCCATAGTATTTGATTCCATGACCTCTTGTGACAATGAACCCCACAGGCTAGCTGCATACTGTGTAATGAAATATTTTTTCATTTAATCTATATTAATATACCATTAATTTCACACATATTGGAGGACAATACACACATAAAACAACTGTTAGAACTTCCCAGTGATTTTCTGTATATACGGTCTTGATGGAAAATAAAACATGGTTCTTTCCCGAAATACTTTTTAATAGGAAGATTATTCTATTTCCTCTGGGCTAAGACCAGGCTTTCTTAGCTTTTAAAATAGGTCTTACATATCTATACTATATTTATGTTACACTAAAACACCCTTTTAGTATTTATAGACTGATATAAATAGTTATAAGACAATCTTTTCACAAAATATGAGCAACATTTTTGCAACCATGACATGATAGTGTGGACCATATTTGGCAAATATTCAGTCCCCTCTTCTTTCACTGTTGAGTGTACTTCCCTGATCCATTGATGTTTAGCTTGGCCATGTGACTTGCTTTAGCCAATGGGATGATTAGCAGAGGTGATACAAGTGGGGTCTTCAAATGTACTTGTCCAGTATGGCTTGGTTCCTTCCCACCCATGATCTACCATGAGAAGAGCAGGTCTCGGGAGCCACTGCCTTCTCACATTAGGCCCCAGATCAAGTATATGTGGAACTAAACTGAACTGAACTGTAGTCTGGAGCCAAACTGAGCTGACCCTCAGCCTGAACCAGAACTAGCCAACCCACCAAGCCTAGATCAGTTCAACTGCCATCAAACCTCAGACCCGGAGGCATGAGCATAAATGCTTGTTGTTGTAAGCCACTGAGGTTTTGGATGGTTTGCTAAAAGGCATTATTGAAGCAGTAAACTGACAGGTAAACCATGGAGAACAAACTGTTCTAGATTAATCAGTGATTCTGAAGTTATTCTACGTTTACTTGCCAGCTCTGACATGGAAGGGAAACCTCACTAGGAACAGGGCATTTCCAGTTTTAGCTGCTTACATTAGAATGAATTTCAATCATATTTTCTAGAAACAACAGGTTAGGAAATTACATAGTTAATGCATGAATTGTACTTTAAAAGATTTGCCACTATTTTGGGACAGGAAATAAGAGATAAATACGGACAGAAAAATGATATATATCTATCTTCTGTTAGACATTTGTGGTGTTCTAGATTCTTCCCAAATTGATTCTGATTTTTTAAAAAAAATTCTGATTAAAGTAATATATTTTCCAAGTTCCCTGCACATAAAAAAAAAAACTGATTTCTCTCCTTGCTTAGGCAAATCACACTGTACTATGTTAAATCTGTCATTTGTAAAGAAATATACATACAGCCTTAAATTTTTTCTCATGTGTCTTTTCAGGTCATACAAGCAGTATTTATTATGAAAGAAAAAAGGAAGATAAGAATGGCATGAAGGAAGAGCATGATACAAGTGTCGCAATGTTCTTTACCTTATTCAATTTCCAAATTTCTGTTGAGAACATTAGAAAAGGTAATATTTTTAGAAATAGGTAATATTTTTAGAATAGGTAATATATTTAGAGGTAGGTAATACTTTTAGAATAGGTAATATTTTGTTGAGAACATTAAAATAGGTAATATAATAACTTTTTTGGTATTAGGTTGGTGCAAAAGTAACTGTGGCTTTTGCCATTAAAACTAATGGCAAAACAAAAGAAGACTTAGAAAATTAGTGAGTCATGGAGTTTTAAAATAACACAGCTGTTCCTTGAAGTTAGCTCCCCGATCCTATTGTTTTAAATTCTGAAAACCAGTTTTCATAATAAATGGTAGTATACTTATCTCAATATATCATAGAATTCCCACCCTATAGGAGTTAAACAAGACCTTACTTAAGTCTGGTTCAGATAGAAATTTCACACATATTTCATAAATTTTAAATTATAAAAATCTTTCCATATCCATTGCTGCCAATTCCAGTTCTCTTCCAAGATATTGTCAAATATCAAGTAGTCCTTTTGTCTCTTGCTGAATTCTTACACTGCAATATTCAACTCATTACCCTATCCTAGTGTTTCTACACTCCAGATGGCTCTTGAATCTAACAATTTCTCTGCCTTTGTATTGCCCCTGACCTCTTCTGAATAAACATAATGTTTTATCTAAAACAAATTCAACGGCTTTGGCCCTGACATGAAACTCCCACCATCCTGGTATCTCTGATGTAAGTTGGGACTTTTTTTTATCTCTCTGATCTCCCTCTGTTCAGTCTGTAGCACCAGACTGGGATTCTGGATCTAGGAATTAAAGAACTTATTTTGTTAGAAATAAGTTAGATTATTTATTAGGTTGTGTTAGAAATAGGGGGAAAAAGCAACAAACATTTTTCTCTCTCTCTCTTCTCACTACTCACAACACAACACAGAATTATTCACTTCTGGTCACCAAAATGTATGGAGATTTATCCCTCCCATGCTCAAGAAATTCTCCAGTGGACTTCAGCTGGGTGTCCTAGAATTCAATTCAATTCTGACAGTATCTACCTGGAGATAGCATCAGATCCCACAGGTTAAGGACTGAGACCCACAAGACTGTCCTTACCTCAAATGCCAGTCTCAAGTACAGTTGTGTGTCACATAATGACTGGGACCCATTCTGAGAAATGTGTCGTTAGGTGATTTCATCATTGTATGAACACCATAGAGTGTTTCATACAAACTAAGGTGATACAACCTAAACACTTAAGCTGTATTGAGATAGGAATAATACAGGGTGGGCACAGGAGAACAGAAAATTCCAGGGAGCAGTTTCACATGACTAGTAAAAAGAAACTGTTGAAATAGCTGCAGAAGCTAGGGGCTGATATGACCCTAAAAAGACAGGGTGTGAGCCAAACTAGCTCAGATCCACTGGACCCAATATCTTTCTGGATTTGACCTTAGAGGACCTCATTATACGCTCATTAACATACTGAATCACACACCCATCAGCACCATGACAGTTCCAAGAAATCTTCACCTTTTTCCGGGAACCTTCATGAATATTCCTTTAGTTAAAGAAACTCATAAAGATAGAAGCTCCTAACCCTGTTGTGTGACACTTTCTTGAGAACATCCATACTCCCCATTCTTGAGTGTGTACTTTTCACTTTGTAATAAATCTCTGTACTTTCACTATTTTCCAAATTGTCCTTTAATTCCTTCTTGCGATGATGTCAGGAGCCTGGGTACAAGCTGGGGTTGAGGTCCCACTGCTGTTTGGGGACCTCCCCCAGCCCACTGGTATCAATATGGTATAGCCTTTTATTGCTCCTAGGCTACATATCTGTACAGCATGTTATTCTACTGAATATTGTAGGCAGTTGTAACACAATGCTAAGTATTTATTGAAACAGATCTAAACATAAAAAAGATAATGTGTTGTGCTATGACAATATCAGGAAGTCACTAGGCCACTAGGGTGACATTTTTCAGCACCATGATGGGGCCACCATCGCATATGCACTCTGTTATTGATGGAGATGAACTTATGTGGTGCATGATTGTAGTAGGTTGTCACTGATACTTCTGACTAGCTGGCTATAAATCAGGGGTTCCCACAAACCCCTCCTCGAGTTCTATTAATTGCTAGAGCAGCTCACAGAACTCAGGAAAGCACTTTACTTAGGTTTACACATTTATTATAAAGCATATTACAAAGGATATAGATGAAGAGCAAGATGGGAGAAATGCATGGGACAAGGCACAGGGGATAGGCATGGAGCTTCTATGCCCTCTCCTAGTGGCCTCTCTCTAGGAACTTTCACACAGTCAACTATCTAGAAGCTCCTGGAACCCAGTCCTTTTGGGTTTTTATGGAGGCTTCATTATGTAGGCATGATTTATTAAATGGTTGTTCATTGATGATCAATCTCCCCTCCCTGAAAATTGAAGGTGGGGCTGAAAGTCCCAACCTTCTAATCACACCTTGAACTGATTAGCATGCAAAAGACACTTTAATCACTTCAGAGATTCCAAGAAATTTTGGAGCTATACACCAGAAGGCCAAATACATATTTCACAATATCACAGTTTGCTATTTCTTATTATGGTCTTCCTTAAATTATTTTTCTGGGTACTTCATGGTTTAGCCCATTTAAATTTCCCCCAGTATTTTTGAAATGAAAACTAAAGCAAAACAAATAAACAAACAAAAAAGATAAGAATGAGAAGGCAAAAATGCAAGAAAGAAATCAACAAAATGAAAAGTAAAAATTCCTTTACTTACCTAAACAAACTCCTGAAACAGCCATAGAAGTAGTTACTGTTGCTCTCTGATGTCCAAGTGTGAGTGATCTGAGGAACAAGTTTTTTAAGACTTGTAGTCTGTAGCACCTATTGGACGGGATGCTGAAAGTTGGGAACTCCATATCATTGCAGCCTTTCTACTTACTTCCCCAGGACTCAGAAAGTAGAGGAAGATTGGTCTCTGGAAGACATAGGAATCAGTGTGAATACTGAAAGGGCACAGGGAACTTCACCCCAAAACATGGCTCCCTTGTATAATGAGTATTTTGAATTAAAGGCCCTTAGAGATCAACAGATGCTGGAAAAGACTTTTTCTCTCTCTACGTAAAGAGACCAGAGGGACCCACTAAGAATAATAATCATTTTTGCTTCCCCTTTCCCACCTCTCCCAAAGACAGGATGAAGTTGTTTGTTGTAGTTTCTTTACTTGCCTAAACTCTGGACCTACCAAAGAAGAAAGTAATGACTTCTCCTCCCTTCCTTGAGATTTCATTAACTGAACTCATATTCCAGGAAGAAAGGCTGAAGTTTGTCAACAAACCAAAAGAGACTATTGTCACAAAGCATTGGCCACTCTGCAGGCCCAACAGAATTTTCCCCAGACCACTGAATGCTTTCAAGCATATTTAATTATCCTAAAAATCATTTACTACCCTCCTAAAATCATCCACACTTTCAGCAGCTGTACCCTTTGGGATACTGGGCAACTGTCTGTGATTCTACCCCATGCACATTAATGAATTTTTATGGCTTTTTTCTAATTAATCTGCCTTTTGTGAGTTGGTTTTTCAGTGAAACTTCTGAGGGTGAAAGGGAAGTTTTTCCTTCATCTCTACAATAATGTACCTAGGGATAAGCACTGTTAACATTATGGTTTCCTGTGTATATGCCCAGATCATTCTGTATATGAACCTGTAGGATTTTTTTAAATACAAATTTTAAATAAACAATAACAACAAAATGATATGGACAGGAGGCAGGGAAATACTGGGTAGAAGAGAATCGTTCCTGGTGAGGGTCACACCCTCAAGCCTGGTGTGAACCCTGATTTGGACTCACAGTCCAAAGTGACAACAGGCATTCATGTTTTCCCACCTGAATATTGCCTTTTCCAAAACCACCCTGGTCCGTCCCAACCCCCATCCTGTACCCATAAAATCCCCAGGCCTCTCTGGCAGAGTGGCAGAGAAGGGGAGAAGAGAAGAAGCAACCAGACATCAGAGAGAAGCAGCTTGACTTTAGAGAGATGGCTTGATGGCAGAACTTCAGAGAAGAGTTCAGTTGAGTATGGCCAAACTTCAGGGGAAGACTACCTTCCCACTCCATCTCCTTTCCAGCTCCCCTTCCTGCTGAGAGCCACTTCCACTGCTCAATAAAATCCTCCACATTTAACATCCTTCAATCCATTCATGTGACCTGATTCTTCCTGGATGCTGGACAAGAACTTGGGTACCAAGAGGGCAGGTGCAAAAAGGCTGTCACCCTGACCCTCCACTGAGCTCTGAAACACTTAAGCCATCCACGGACAGCAAAGCTAAAAGAGCACACTGTAACACACATGCCCTCTGGGGCTCCCGGGGTCATGGGTACCCCCTCCAGATGGTGCCCCAGGGCTGCACAGAGTTCTACTCCTGCCAGTGCCCAGAAGCACATGTCCTGGCCCCTGTACCTGCTCACCTGTGTGTTCCTGGTCCTGTGAGGGGTTGACAACTGTGGGCTGAGTAAGCAAACCAGCCCCTTTGTGAATCCCATGAAGGGGTCAAGGAAATTATCTTGTTTCATCAACACATCTTATATTTATATGCCAGAAAAGAAACAAAAACACATTGAGATAAGCAGAGTCCCAGAAAAAGAAAAAGCCAATGGCTTTCCAGGATTTCACTCCTGAAGAACAAAGGGGCTCAGATAACCCCTGTGAGGGACCACATGGCTAGGGATCTGGAACCAGGGTTAGTCCACAAAAGTGGATTTGAGGCAGGACTTCTCAATGTGCACCAGAGGTGAGAAGAACTGGGATAACTGCCTGGAGTGGTGGCCTTTGAAGAGGCCCTTGCCTGGAGAGAACTTGAGAACAGAAAAGGCGCATACTGAGAGCCAGGGCTACCGTGTAACTGGCTAGGATTTCTACGAGCTAGAAAGTCTGAAATGAACAGCATAAAATGTTATTTGGAATTGAGTGACCCCAAAATCTTAAGTTGAAGGAACCATAAAATACTCAGACTTGGGAGAAGGGAAAAGTGAAAGAAAAATAAATTTCAAAATAAACAAAAACCCAATTTCCACTTAAAACAAATTTACATATGAACATTTCAAAAGCGAGGTACAAAATTAACTTAAAATTATAGCTCACAATAAATGTGTGAAGAAATACTCAGAGCAATGAAAAAGAAAGTAAATAATTAAGGTAAGCACAGTTTAAGATCCTCAGGAGGTTGTGAAATAAAACCTCTTCATTAGTCAAGAACAAGTTGAAATAAAAATTAAACAACTAGAAATATTCAAAATTCAATATTAATATATACCTTTAACATAACACAAAGAGATATTAAGTAAACTGGCAGACAGTAATCAGTATAGCAACTAATAGGCCAGAAAATAAAGATTCTATAGAGGTACACGATATTTGAATGATACAATTAATATTCTTGATTTCCTAAAAATTCTAGAGGTAGCTTATGATAAAGATAATATATTTTTATCATAGTAAAATATGAAAAATATAAAACTTACCATTTTTACCATTTTTAAGTGTACAGTTCAGTGGCATGAAGTATATTTCCATTGTTGTGCAATCATCACCATCATTCGTCTCCAGAACTTTTATATCCTCCCCACTGAAACTCTGTATAATTAGACAATGACTTTCATTCCCCATTCCTTCACCCCCTGGCAACCATCAGGGGCTATCTCTATGAATGTGACTACTCTAGGTACTTCACATAAGTGGAATCATACAACATTCCACTCATACAACATGTCTTCAAGATTCATCCACGTAATGGAATATTTCAGAATTTCCTTACTTTTTAAGTCTAAAATATTTTATTATACATACACACACACACACACATTACCTCATTTCTTTGTTCATCATTTATCTGTTGATGGACATTTGGGTTGTTTCCACCTTTTGGCTATTGTACATAATGCTGCTATGAACTTTGTGTACAAATATCTGTTTGAGTTCTCCTTTACATTTTTTTTGATTATCTAACTATAAGTGGAATTGCCAGATCATGCGGTAATTCTATGCTTAATTTTTGGATGAACTGCCGTAATGTTTTCCACAGTAGCTGAGCTATTTTACATTCCCATCAGCAATGCACAAGGTTTCCAGTTCCTCCATATCCCAGCCAATGCTGTTTTGTGGTTTTGTTTTTATGATGATAGGCCAATAGGTGTGAAGTGCTATCTCATTGTGATTTTGATTTGTATTGCCCTAATGATTAATGACCATAAGTATCTTTTCATGTGCTTATTGGCCATCTGTACACCTTCTTTGGAAAAATGTTTATTCAAGCCCTTGCCATTTTAAAATTTGTGTTTTGTTGTTGTTGTTGCTGAAGCAGGAAATTTTTTTTTTTTTTTGAGACGGAGTCTGGCTCTGTCACCCAGGCTGGAGTGCAGTGGTGTGATCTCGGCTCACTGCAAGCTCTGCCTCCCGGGTTCATGCCATTCTCCTGCCTCAGCCTCCTGAGTAGCTGGGACTACAGATGCCTGCTACCACGCCCAGCTAATTTTTTCGTATTTTTAGTAGAGACGGGGTTTCACCTTGTTAGCCAGGATGGTCTCCATCTCCTGACCTCGTGATCCGCCTGCCTCGGCCTCCCAAAGTGCTGGGATTACAGGCACGAGCCACCTCACCCGGCCATAATATTTTAAAATACAAGCAGATTGGGCAGCCACTTTCCTTAAAATCCTAGAATTGTGTCTTAGTTTGCTTCGGCTGCTATAACAAAATACCATAAACTAGGTAGTTTATAAACAACAGAAATATATATATTTCTCACAATCTGGAAGCTGGGAAGTTTAAGATCAAGGCAGAGTCACTGTCTGCTGAGGGATCATTTCCTCATAGACAACCATCTTCTCACTGTAACCTCACATGACTGAATGGATAAGGGATATCTGCGGGGTCTCTTTTATAAGGGCACTAATCCCATTCATGAGAGCTATGCCCTCATGACCTAATCATCCCCAAAAGCCCCATATTCAAATATCATCTCTTTGGGGTTTTGGAGTTCAATATGTGAATTTTAGGAGGACACAAATACTCAGAGCATGACATGTGGCTTCCCATAGCAGTAGAATAACAACCTTGTGTTTCGCTGCGTGTGCTGCATGATGTGGCTCTGCTGGCCTCTGAGTCTCTCTCTCACATTCTATGCTCCCCATCCAATGTCCTTTCATAGTCTCAACTCTCAAGCTCCTCCTGCCTCAAGGCATCCACAGCAGCTGCTACCTCTGAGCTTAAAGATCTTCAGCCACCGTCAAATTATTGGCTCCTTATCCATTAAGCCTCAGCTTAAATGCCATTTGTCTGCTTTTTTCCTTTAGAGCACTCACAAATATTTTATATTATGTATTTGTCTATCAGTTTACTTGCTTAACTACTATCTTGTCTACTAGACCAGGTACCAGCTAGGAGATCGCTCTTCTCTCAGTTTTGAGTGAACACTAAGGACCCAGAATTGTACCTGTCATCTCTTGGGTGCTAATCAAATATTTGCAAATCCATATGATGTAGTGTGGGTTTGTGCTGTGGGCAGGCAGTGGGTGATGAGAGCTGAAGCCTCCCTCCTCAAGTGTGTAGAGGACAGTGGAATCACTCTCTACATTGTGGGAGGTCTGATCTTGTTCTCTCATTATCCACACAGGCCATGACTAGACTCCTTTACACTTTGTGACACACCTCAAAAAGCTCCAAGTCAGATTTTCTGTAGCACACATGGAGACAGACATTCTTCATATTTTATAGTCTTTCTTACAGACTGTAACTGTAACTTCCTTCAGCTTCTTTTGAGGCCAGTTTAAACAGAAATATTCTCACACTGTTCATTGAGGATTAAAAGGGACAAGGGCAGCTGATATATAGATAATGAGCTATAGCCGGTCAGCCACAGCCACTGCCCTGTGGTGAATGGGAGGAGTTGCAGTTTGAACACCTTTTGCTTTCTTCAAATTTACTATTTCCTTGTTAGTATTATGCCAGAATGTATTACAGCAAGTTGCTTCTTAAGATCTTTGTTCCAATCTAAAATTATAATTCACTTATTCTGTCTATAGACCACTAAACTAGGCCTTAAAATTATACTATAAATAGTGTCACTTTAGTTTATTGCAGCTATTTTCATATTTAAATGAGGAAATAGCATTAGTCTACCTTATATAATTTATTTTCAGATATGACTAATGAAATGATTCCAAAATATTTTTCAAGATTTAAAAATATGTAAAATTTTTTCCTTAGAGGTCTGCTTTATCATGTAAGAGCTTAAAGAAACTCTAATTTTGTTTTAACTCTCCACTAGAATAAAAGATTGCCTATTTTAATTAAAAACCATATGAAATATAACTATTAAGTACCCAACAAAAGCACCAGGAGCAGATCTCAGTAGATATTACATTAGCATTTTCAGGCTTAAGTCCTTTTGATATACATAGAAATTCTTTTTTGTCAATATCTTACAACTCCCAGAAAAGTATTTCTGGTTCAGTTTTTTAAATTTCACTTTTGCTTTCCCCAGAAATGTTTAATGGGATGATTTCGTATCTTGCATTTGAAGACATTGCTACTGGTGGAGTTAATTATGCTAGCTCTCATATTATTATCTGTTTTCTCTTTAGGTTGGGTTTAAAGTGATGCTAAGAAAAAGAGTAGCTTATTACATTGATTAATCAAAGCTTCCAGAGAGAAGGTAGAAATATAACAATGGCTATTTCTGCCTTCCTTGCAGATCTCTTTCACTCCTTCCTACTTTCATGCCCTTTTACTTACAATGCTGGTTTGAAATGACCACTCTCTCCACTCCCTGTGTAATCTGTTCCTCCAATCTTCTGTTAAATGGCATTATCCTCATGGAGCATTAGTGACATGACATTCTCTGCTTTCACTGAATCCCCTTAGACAGCCCCCTAGTTATTTCACAATCTCGCTGATAAAGCATATGTTTTATGCCCCCACATTGGAATATCGACCCCCTTACATTCCATATACCACATAAAATGGTGTCTTGTATATAATACACACTCAATAAATGTTGTAAAATCAAGTACAATGTTGTTCAGTGCTTAACATTTGTTGCAAATACAAAATTTGATATGAAAATAATTTGGAAGATTAAGAGATGATTTCTTATTGACCTTCTATACTCTTCACATCTATAGGCAGAAAGTTTCTCTTCTACCATTTTTTCCAACTGTGACATCCTAATGTAGGTGTAAAGCTCTACAGTATACCTAAAAGAACTGATGCTTAATTGAAATATAAATGTTCTTACTAAAGAAGAAAACTTGGGGAGGAGAAAATAAAATATTAGGTTGGGTAGTAGCATTGATTTCTCCTTGTAATAGCTGCTTTTAAAAGTAGACATCTGTAGTAAGTAATGTGAGGGTTATTTGTACAGTCATAATTGGCTAAAAATAGTCCTGCATTTTGCCTCTTTCCTCTGTGTTAAAAGGAGATCACACAAACTTTGAAATCCTTCTTTATAATACTGGTTTTGAGAAAGGATTATTTTAAAGTGTCATTTTTACAACATATTTGCTCTATAATTTTATCAAATAGGAATGAGAGGATAATCCGTCAGTGACCACAATATCTGTGCTACTCTGAAAACCAACGCTGCTCTTTAAAGTAAAGGGCTATATAGGATGTGGAAGATAAATCGTAAGCAACAAGACACCACTTCCTAGCTTTGTAATCAGATGACATAACTTTCCTCCCAATATATAGTGGCCACTTTAGAGTCGTTTAATCTGTTTGATAATTGTGGTTCTGGGTCAAGTTACCTAGGCAGCAGACTCTGAATTGGACACCAGCATGCAGAAGCTTATTAAGGAGTTCTTCTAGGATTAGCACCTGTTGGGGAAGGGTAGGAAGCTTAACTGGGCAGAAGGAGAAGTTGAACCCTAGTGTAGTCACAACAAAGGCGTGAGAGAGCCATGCCAGCAAGAAGCTCTGGAGCTGGACTACCACAGCAAGGGTATCATAAGTTGGTGCAAGGATACAAGCCTTTATATCCCTGTGTGGCTAGTCACTGGATCCAAGCCATCCCAGGGAAGGGAGCATGAACTTGCGCAAAGTGACTCTCTTCAAATAATGGCAGTCCCCCCAAAAGGGGTGAGAACTGTTAGCTGTCAACTCTCGCAGTAGGTGGGGGAATGAGTACTTTAATCCTCAAAGTGGGGAGTTGTGTGGCATATCACAGACCCACTATGATTGTCTAATAAAAGCAATTTTTAAATAAAAATATATTAATATGTTAATATATAAAATATATTTTTATGTTTGCATATATTCTTATTTTATGATACATTTTCTTTCAACTATGAGAAAGTTTAAAAAGAACTACCCCTGAAATTCATGTGACAAATTATTATTATCCAAGAATTCAAATGATGAATCCTAGTCATTAATATTTCCAACTTTATGAATTTTAATTAAAACTACAAGATTGGCCGGGCGCGGTGGCTCACGCCTGTAATCCCAACACTTTGGGAGGCCGAGGCGGGCGGATCACGAGGTCAGGAAATCGAGACCATCCTGGCTAACACGGTGAAACTCTGTCTCTACTAAAAACACAAAAAATTAGCAGGGTGTGGTGGCGGGCGCCTGTAGTCCCAGCTACTCTGGAGGCTGAGGCAGGAGAATGGCGTGAACCCGGCAGGCGGAGCTTGCAGTGAGCCGAGATCGCGCTTTATCTCCTCTCCATCCCAAATTTAATAGTCATTTGACTTTGGGATTTAGTTATCATTAGTTTTACCAAGAATTGCTTCAATTTTTATTTTTTCCATTTGAAACATTTCTCTTATTTACATTCTTTGAACCTCAGTTCAGATGTCTCTTTTTTTCTTTCCTCAGTTTATATTTTCAATTGTGGATTTTTATTTAATTTTGCCTTTACTTATTTTATTATGAAAACATTTACCAAAAAAGATTATTCAAGAAGAGACTCTCCAAATATTTCAGAAATTGGTAAATGTTTTTTCACTTTTCATGTCTTTTGTTACTTGTCACCTACGGACGTACTAAATGGCGTTTTTGCAGCTCCTTTTCTCCCCCTCTTCAGCACTCCTTTGCTTCTTTTACAGATAACACTTTACAGATTGGCTTTTCAGATAGTGGGATGTAGTCAACACTGACACTTTTCATGATCGATCAAACCAGTTTCCTTTGTTGCTCACTGGCGACAGGGTTAGTGATTTTGCTCACATCACTGTCAGACACAGCATTATTGAAGTTTTAAAAAATGTATTTTCAACTGTTTTTTTAAAAAGACCAATTTAGAGATTGGAGAAAAGCTATAAATATGCAATCATTTTGCAAAACTTCATGCCCTAAAGGATTAGACAATGAGAAAAGACTTTCCTATTGCTTCAGGAAGTCACTTGACAAATCTGATACATTTCTTGCAGCAAAGTTTGGTGACTGTAAAGCAGAGGAATGTCTTTTGGTGGGTAGAGAAACTCATGCTCTCGGGCTCCAAACTTGGGATTTACCACCATTTGAGCTCTGTTTCTCAGCTTTTTAGGCTTAAGAACTCACCTTGCCTGTATCTTAAACTTGATTAGATTCTGGCGTTATTACTTAGATTTGTCAAGTTCATAAGAGATCGATATCCATCTACGTATTCATCATGAATATCTATGTCTTAGTTTACAGTGAAAATTTTGTTACTTGGAAGAACTACTCACATTAGTTCAACATGAATGCTTCTCCCTATAGCATGCCAAATATCAGTAAGATTACTGGATGATCACAGAATTAGAACACTGTAGTACAGATTAAGAATTTTCAGGTTAAGATAACATATAAACTCATTTTCCCAAAAGGCATTTCTTTACCAATATAATTCTAGCTTTTGACGTCCCTGGTAAACATTTCCTTTCTCTTGCATAATTCTTGGAAGAATATTACGTCCTTCTTCTATGACTCTCCATTTTATGTTCTTCCAATGATCATCAGCACTTTTTCTAATAGATACATGCTTTCTCTAAAGATATTCATGGCTTCAAGGCTAGGCACAGTGGCTTTCACCTGTAATCCCAGCACTTTGGGAGGCCGAGGCAGGCGGATCACTTGAGGCCAGGAGTTTGAAACCAACCTCCCCAACATGGCAAAAACCTGTCTCTACAAAAAAATACCAAAAATAATTACCCAGGCATGGTGATGCATACCTGCAATCCCAGCTACTCAGGAGACTGAGGCACAAGAATCGCTTGAACCCAGGAGGCAGAGGTTGCAGTGAGCCGAGTCCTGCCAGCCTGGGGAACATAGCAAGACTCTGTCTCAAAAAAAAAAAAAAAAAAAGTTGTTAATGGCTTCAGGAAGGTACAGCTGTATCTTGGCCTTGGAGCCATTCTTTCATTTTAAAGAGAATTTACCTCTTTGTCCTAATTCATTATATGTCCATGTATGTTTAACTTTCACAGGGAACATTCTATTTCAAATCCCAGCTATCATCTTACCTATGTTTCTCCATGACCTAATTAGCAATGCCAATAGTCTTTAACCTACCAGTTTTACCATTGTGCCTCAACCCTGAATGCATATAGGAATCATCTGTAGAAAATTTTAAAATACAGATACTTCAGATTCATGTCATTCCAACTAAATTTAAATATCAAAGTGAGATGGAAAAGTATGTTTTAAAAAATCTCTACAAGTTATTTTGATGATTACTGTGGTTTAAAACCACTAGCTTAGACACCTGATTCAACCAACGTACATAATTTTCTGGAAGGATAAGAAGAATACTGCCATAGTATCCAGCTAATTGCTCCTTTGATATATTATTCTCCTGACCTGAGCCATGTCCACTTCTGAGAGTTAAAAATAAAAGTACTATGATTGGGTTACTTCTCTAATATGCACTGAAATATGATATCAACCGTGATGCAGGGTTCTGGCTTGTTGATATTGGAAATGTTTTCAAATGCTAACAAGAGGTTGTTGGGAACAGGCCCCCCAAAATCTGGCCATAAACTGGCCCCAAAACTGGTCATAAACAAAATCTCTGCAGCACTGTGACATGTTCATAATGGCCCTAATGCCTACACTGAAGGTTGTGGGTTTACCGGAATGAGGGCGAGGAACACCTGGCCCGCCCAGGGTGGAAAACCTTTTAAAGGCGTTCTTAAACCACAAACAATAGGATGAGTGATCTGTGCCTTAAGGGCATGTTCTTGCTGCAGATAACTAGCCAGACTCACCCCTTTATTTTGGCCCATCCCTTCGTTTCCCATAAGGGATAGTTTTAGTTAATCGAATATCTATAGAAACAATGCTAATGACTGGCTTGCTGTTAATAAATATGTGGGTAAATTTCTGTTTGAGGCTCTCAGCTCTGAAGGTTGTGCGACCCCTGATTTCCCACTTCACACCTCTATATTTCTGGGTGTGTGTCTTTAATTCCTCTAGCACCGCTGGGTTAGGGTCTCCCTGACCCAGCTGGTCTCGGCAAGAGGTAAACTTTACCATGAATTTACCATGTGCCAGGCACCTGGTAGTATATCTCCTGAACCTCTTCATTCGTCCCTCTCAACAACCCTAAATGGTGAGCATTATTTTTACCCCTGTTTTACTGCAAAGTAAACTAAAACACAGAGAGGGTAACTAACTCTCCAAAGTACCAAAGCCAGTCAATGATGAGCAGGACTCAAGATTCAAATCTTAGTCTAATTCCAGATTATTTCTTTTTTTAGAAAAAAAAATTCATTCCTTTATCCTTTCAAACAAGACACAACACAACTCAACAACAATGCACATTACTGTAGAAACACAACTGAAAACTATAATTCAGACATCAAGGAAGAGAACTACTAATTACATTATCACATTACAGAAATCAAAATTAATTTACCACACAAAATAATTTAAAACATTACAGATTAATCTTTTAGTTCAAACATATATACAAGTCAAAGTAACCCGTTCAAAGAAAAAGCATCAGGTACTTTATAATAAAGATAATGAAACTTTGAACATTTCAGTTAAGTCATGACACTAGGAGGAAGGATTGCTTTTTAGTACAGTGTGTGACTGTATATATAAGTACATCACTTTATCTTTCAGAAAGCCTGGTAAAATCAGTGGCTAGAGAGAACAATGTCTTATGTTAGAACATTGATCATTATTCTTTATCGTCTTACCTTTATTGCCATTCAACAGGCATACTTTGTAAAACAAAGCAAAACAAAAACAAACGTAAAACAAAACAGAAGGCTCAGTTTCTTCTGTCTAGGCACATATTCTCTATAGAGTACAAGTCAATATATAAGGAAATCCATGATTATATGACAGATTACAGGCACATTCATAGCTTCATGCTGAAAAAGTTAGGTGGCAACACTTCTTCAAGGATGAGTGTACTCATGAATGGCAATAAGAGGAATGTGGTTTTGAATAAGAGAAATAAAGGAGAGGGTATTTCATTGTAGGAAGAAATGCACAGTGGTAGGCAGGAAGCTATGAGTTAGCGACTGACAAAAGGGAGCAGAGAAGTCAGCTTGGTTTCTTTGGAGGTTGGTAGGGGATAAATTGTTTGATTGTTTCCTTCTTGGAATTGGTTTATATTCTGATTGAAGAGAAATTTAAGATAGGGGAGGCTCCTTTTTTGACATTCAAACTCTAATGATAATATGTATCACAGGTTGGGTGCCCCAGGAAGCTGATTGTGAAAGGGAGAACAGCCTGCAGGAGGTTTATTAGGGACTATTCTCAGGATCAACACCTGGAAGTGATGGCAGTGGTGGGCTGTCCAGAATGGCTGCTGCCATCATGCTGCTGCCGCGGGGATGCCACAGGGAGGAGGAAGACAGCCTCCAGCAGGCTGCTGCCCTGGGGGCCACCAGGATAGGGCTGGGCCATGTCATTCACCAGATGGGGAGCAGTGGGGTAGAGCAGAGAGGGGCCGTGAGGCAGAGCTGGGGCTGCACTTCGGGGGCCTGGGGCAGGAAGTGGGAGCAATGCCCACTTCAGGGACCCAGCCAGGAAGGCAGCCACCGTGTCCACCCCAATGAGGATGTCGGGTTCCTGTGCCTTGGAAGGAGGTTCTACACGGGGCCACCTAGCACTGTATCTCCAGGGTCTGCCCTGCACTGGGGAGACCACAGAGCCTAACACTCCAGATGGCCGAGTTCAGGGCCCATGGCCTACAATCCGCTCCTAGAGGTACCCCCTGGGCAGGTCTGTGAGCCAGGCACGGGGGAGCCTCAGGATGTCCCTGAGTGCTGGTGTCATGGGGGAAGCTCACAGCAATGTAGCTCCTGCCCAGGATGCCAGCCCAGGCCCAGCAAGGACCTGAAGCCCCAGACCCAGGCTGTGAGGAGAAGTGCAGCTGAGGCTGCATGCTCCAAGGAACCAGTGGGATCTGGGAGCAGGAAGCAGCCCTGCCCTATTGGGTGCAGCTGCAGCCACCCAAGTCAGGGCTGTGGACCTGGGTCTCTCTGCACTCTTAGGGGCTGGGAAATCCCCCCGCCACCCACCACACCGAGACCTTGCAGGCTGTGAAGTGCCTGCTCCTACTGCCTGGCTTTTCTCTGCTGTCAACACCTGCTCCAAACTTGGAGCAACATGGAGCTGAGCCTGGGTGTTGTCACAGCCTGGCCAGGGATACACATGCTCGGGGCAGTGCTGACACACCAGCCCCCTGCTGCCTCAGCCCCTCTGGAATTTGGGCACTAACAAGCATGGGAGGGAGGCTGATGGGGGGCTGAGGACAGCCTGGCACCGACCTGCAGGTGCCCCTTCGTGCAAGCAGCCTGGCAGCAGGAGGCAGACAGGCTCCTGGGTGGGAGGAAATGGGTCCCCAGTGAGGCCCCACCTTCAGGGCAGGAGGGCCTGAAGGCTGGGGGCCAGGCTGTCAGTCCCACATACCAGAGTGGGAACTTGTGGTGCCTTTTCTGGCCCTGCCCATGGCTGCCCAAGGATCAATTGTCATGTACTTCCTCCTCTTTGAGGCCCATAAAAGCCCTGGGCTCAGCCAGAGCTGAACAGATGACAGGATGACTTGCCTGCAGAGAGGAGCCACCCACTCTAGGGCTTCCTCTCTGCTGAGAGCTGCAGAGACAATGGAGAGATGATGAGGAGATGATGGATGACCAGCTGCAGAGAGGAGTTATGTATCCTCTCTGCCGATAGCTGAACACTTGTTGGGATGACTTGCCTAGCAGAGAGGAGCTACCCTCTCTGCTAGTAGCTGAACACTGTTGGGACACCCTGGCTGCAGAAAGGAGCAACCTGCTGTGGGTTTCCTCTGAGCTGTTCTATTGCTCCATAAAACTCCTCTTCCTCTTGCTCACCCTCTACTTGTCTGTGTATCTCATTCTTCCTGGGTGCAGGACAATAACTCAGGAACCTCTGAATGGTGAGATTGAAAGAGCTGTAACACAAACAGGGCTGAGACATGCTCCTTGCTCACCATGTTGTGGGCAAAGAGAAGGAAAGGAGAACTGCAACCCTTTGGAGACACCAGACCTGGGAGCTCCCCCAGCCAGGGCTGTGACTGCCTCTTTGGGGCCCTGCAGTTCCTAGCATCTCCAAGCTTCTGGGAGCCACTGCGTTCCCTGGTGCCAGCTGTGGAAGGTTCTTGTGGTGCTCCTAGTTTAGCCACAGCCTCACAGAGAGCCTGTGCCCATGCTGGCACCTGGAGCTGCCTGCCCCACTGTAGCAGCCAGCATATCTGACTGAGCAGGGCTGGACCCCATGCTCACTCACACACCCCTTGACGCTCCACACAGTCCCCCTTGGCAGGCATAGGACCCAGACGGGTAGTGTGAGCCAAGCGCAGCCTGTCAGGTTGAGTGGGCAGAATGAACCCAGCAGGTTGAAGCAAAACGCAGGCAAATGCACCACCAGCCACAGAGATTTCTGGCCAGAAAGGTCAATACCCCAAAGATCCCATAACAGAAGGATCTGGGGTACTACAGGCCTTAGCCATCTCAATGGGGAGTTGAAGCTGAAATGACCCTTCACAGTTGTCTCCAAGTGGGAGGAATGGCTGGGCCTTTGTGCTTGTGATATGACATGCCTTTGGGTGAAATAGTCCTTTCAGCTTGAACAATTACTATAAGAGTGGCAGCTTAGGCCTTTTGGCCAGCAGCATTCACAGCATTTGGTGGAAATAAGTCCTCAATTTCTGAAGGGGAACCTGGGTGCCTGGGTGGTATATTACAGCACTCAGAATTTATTATCGGGGAGAGCAATGGTCCTAAGCATGAGAATTAACTCAGTTATAAAAAATAATCTTGAATTTACTAAATCAGAATCTATCAAGATGGAGCCCAAATGATGGAAAATTTTAAAAGATTCCACAAGTAATTCTGTGTATCATTCAGATTTGGGAACCACTGATGTAAAGGGCATAAACTCCTCTCACAGAGCTTCAGAAATAATTATGCTTTTCTTCCTTGAATATTCAGTAATTTCACACAGTATACACTACTCCTTAATGGGCAGAGCAGAAGGATGAAGGAAGAAATCACATTATGAATAGCTCTGGATTCAATGAAAGGGCAGACAGGCATTTTAAGTGCGTTCCACATTATATGAGAACAAAGGGATTAAGCACAATAGGAAGCCCATTAAATTGCTATTGCATTTGGAAAAAATTAAAGGTTATGTTCAGACTATTATAGAATAGATGTAAAGATTCATAAAACTATGTTAATCTATAAAATCTTCAGATAGATACATAATGAGCTATCTGGGCAAGCAGATAGAATAAATAAAGCAAATTAATGATTTTGCAATGCAGGAGCTCTTTTAGTGTGGAAATGGCATGCTATCTGTAGAACTTTAGTTGTAATAAGTGGAGGTAGACATTCAGAAAAATTTTACAAAGCAAAGTTAAAAGCATTTGTAACAAGATATTTTCTTTGTATTTGTGGTCTGTTGCTCAGAATCTCTAAGTAAGAGGTCTTGCTGTCACTCTTTGTTCCAATATTTGTCAAAATTGGATAGTTAGTACTGCATGTTTGGGGTGGTGCCCTTCCTTCCTAAATACCTATTTGCTTCCAGAAATTTGTGTTTTCTCTTTCACCCACCCTTACCCCCTTACCTATTGGGATTCAGTGATGTGGTATGAGTTTTGTTGACTGGAGTAGATCTGACTGAGTCCTGATTGCTGAACAGAACAGTGCCCCTCTTTTCTCAGAAACAACGTGTAGCTTAGAGGTTGGGTGGACGTGACCGAGGCTCAATTGTTAGACACAGCAACAGGACCCTGTCTTTTTGCACCTAGAATGCAATTGGTAGGCATTCATATCAGCCCTGAAATCATTGAGCCTGTAAACCAAATGGTGTCTGAGACAGATCTCAATCAGTTTAGAGGTTTATTTCACCAAGGTCAAGGAGGTGCATGGGAAACACAAGTTTCAGTAGAATCTGTGGCCTGTGCTTTCTCCAGATAGGGTTTTGAGGACTTCAATATTTAAAGAGGAAACAGTGGCAGGAAGGGAAGGAGTGAGTCAATTATGCATTTATCTGGCACTCAGTAAATCTGCATTTTACATAAGATAAATTTGACATAGAATAGAGGAAGAAGTAAAATATACATTTGTCTTGGGGTAGGTTGAGGGATGATTTTTAGTCCTATCTTTGTCCTGTACCTGTGAAAGTAAGCTGTTCACTTGCATTGTCAGGGTGAGATTCAACGGAGCTCTGGTTTACGGTAAAGATTTTGAAGCTGATAAGAAATTTCCTTATGAGCAATTAGTGAGGGAGGACCCCTGGGAAGATATGTGGCCTTTTATTCTTGGAGCTGTTTAGGAAAAAAGGAAGGTCATTTTTGCATGACTCATTCCCAAGCTTAACTTTACCTTTGGCATAGTGAGTTTGGGGTTCTGAGACTTTACTATTTTCCTTGCACAAGGCTTATACATGGGGGTACTACCTGAATGTTCATCAATTTTAAAAAGCTGGACATTTAAACAACTGTACCAATTGGACCCCAGCCAATTTTCTGTGGAATACCCATGACCAAGTGAGATAAAAGAGTTCCCTCGAACCCTTCGTGGGACTTGCGACAGGGGTGTGGCTTGTTTACTCAGCTGCCATGCTCAAACCCCTTGCAAGAGGTGGAGCATGCAGATGAGTGGAAACAGGAGCTGGGGCGAGTGCCTTTGGGCACTGGCAGGAACAAATCCTGTACTGGCCCGCAGCAGTGTCTAGGGATTGCCTGAAACCCCTGGAGCCTCAGAAGGCGTGTGTTACAAACAATGCTCTTTTAGCATTTGCCTTCTGCAGATATCTAAGTGTTAACCAGCTCAGTAGAGGGTCAGAGTGACAGCCTTTTATACCCTGCCCTCTTGGTACTTGGGTTCTTGTCACATGGACTTGAAGGATTGTGAATGATGATTTCATTGAGTGATAGAAGTGGCTCTTAGGAAGATGGGGTGCTGAAAAGGGGATGGAGTGGGAAGATAACCTTCCCCTGGTCTGAGGTAGGTGATAGCCAACCATCCCCAGCCGATCTCCTCTCCGACCACAGACTCTGATGTCCAGCTGCCTCTTCTCTTGACATTCAGATGCTTCTTCTCTCCTTCTCTGCCACGCTGCTCTGCTCCTCTGCCAGTGAAGCTTGGGTTTTTTATGGGCACAGGATAGGGGCATGTTGGGCCAAAAGGCAACATTTGGGTGGGAAAACAGGAATGTGACATTCTCATTTAGGGCCCCAAGTCCAGGATTGAGGGTGGAACCCTTGCCAGGGACCCCAACTTTTTTACCTAGTATTTCCCTGCCTCCTGTACATATCACAAGCATTAGCATAGAGGTAGGAAATAGTTCCTTCTCGTCTATGTAGACCATCTCTTTTCTGAGCCAGATAGGAGTTGAAGAGATTCTAGTAACTACAACAAAATTGGTGTTGGGTTTCTGAGTCTCTAGGTAGTGGAAGCTTCTACTGAACCTGAATTCTTCCTTGACAGTTCAGTGCAGTTTTTTGATGCAACTGAAGCAAGTAGGTGGTGGTTTTGTGGTGAGCAGGAGTGGATCAAAAGAAGGAAACTAGTGGGTTCTGAGTTTGACCTTGAGAGGCACCTGTGAGTTCCCATGAGAAGCTACAGGCAGCGAAAAAGAGAACAGATACTAAGAAAAACTCACTAGGGAGCTTTGGAGCTATCGAGAGAAGGTAACCTTTTGAAAAGACAGAATTTCTATTCGTTAATTAACCACTGCCATTTAAGATATCGATATCAAAGTGCCTCATTTCTAGGAGCAGAGTGGTGAAGCCTGTCCATATGATTTATGTGAGGAATCACTCTGCTTAGAAAAGATGCTCAAATGCTCTTTAGAGAAGGCAATTAACACAGGGCTTGCTTTTTGAAATAAAGAATATGCAAATATTCTACATCCATTTGAAAACTGTCCTAAGAAATTATTTTAGAGGGTTTTTCAGTGCCATAGTTTAGTGTTAAGCATAAGACAAGTGATAGTAATTGTGGTTTTTGCCATTACTTTTAATGACAAAAACTGCAATTACTTTTGCACCAACATAATATTTCAATGGCTAGGAACTTCATATAAATTGGTGACTTTAGGGCACAAGCAAGGAAACATAAACATGCAGTTATTCTTTAAATAACTATAGTCAATGTGTTCTTTTCATGAGTTCACATTTCAAGTAAGAAAGTATTATAGTTGTTTCAGGCTATACTTTCTAGTGCAGAGAACGGATGGGATTTTCTAACTGTCTTCAGTGTGTTACTGGCCCATTGAAGTCTTTGGTTCCCCAGGCATTCCAAAGAGCAATGTTCACACAGTGAGCTATTCCCCTGAGATCCCTCAGATGATCAGAACCTGAGGTAAGACAGCTATTCATGGACAGAAACAAAACCTCTAGGTTCTACAAGCAGCACTTACCTACTGAGAGTTTTGAAAAGAACACTGCACTCTCTGGAAAAACATGGCCCACTGAGTCCAATTCCCAGATGGCTGCAGCTCTTCAGGTCCTCTTTGCCTGCAGCAACTCAAAAAGAGAGGCTTTTTGCCAAAATAATGTCAGTTTTATTCCTAGTTTCTACCCCTTCCCAGAATGATGTTAGTTTATGCCTACCAGAATTCTTAAGGTATTATCACAAGTATGCATCTTCTTAAAGAAGGGAGATGATTCAGCAATTCACATTTGTATATATGTGTGTATGTGTGTGTGAATGAAAGAGACAGAGAGAGAGAGAGAGCGAGAGCGAGCATGTCCATGCCTTGAAAGTCCTCAGATTCATTACTATTTGAGCAAGATCATTTCAACGGGATCACCCTAGATGTGATACATCTAGCCCATTAAGCACATTAGCCACCCTTCCTGTCTTTGTGCCCAGTAGGGCACATACCTGTTGATGCCAGTAAAGCTTGGGTGGCCTCGTCTATCTGTCTTTTAGCAGGAGAGTTCATCAAGGTTACTCATGGGAAGAATATTTTTACAGTGTAAAGCCTCCACATCTAGGTACCAGATAATTCTCTGGGAATATTTTGGCTTTCATGCCAATGAGAGTTTGAATAATCGGTCCTCACATCTCCAACACCTTGGGGTGGGATGGCATGAATCCTTTCACTGAACTTTTGTTCATCAGCACTTATCAAGCCGTACAAAATGTGAGCTGACATTGAGAAAGTGTGATTTAGAAAGGCACTCTGAGGCTTATCTTGTCCAAGAATATTTTTGCCTTAGACTAATATGTTACCTTTCCTTTTGACTTAATCTGAAATTTCCAAGATTGGAGTCACTTCCTTGAATTGGACAACTTCTAGGTTTCTGTACTCAGAATACCATTATTATAACCCACATATATTGCCTGAAGGTGGAGGAAGATCCTAAAGCCATATTTTAGTTTTCCACCCAGTACTAACTAAAATGTACATTTTAAGCTAATTGCCATTTTAAAAGTCACAGGACTTCTGAGATACTGGACTGCTAAGCCTCTCAAGGGGTAAATATGCATGTGGGGAATTCACATTAATGCATCCATCATTTTAAAGTAGTAATTGCCTGAGTTTCTGATGAATTTCTAGCTCTTGTTCTGGTTCCTCTTATGGCTTGATATAGCTTACTGTTCCTGGATAGTCTGAGATACTTCTCTATCTTAGCTATTTATCTTGTATTGATTTGGAACTAGTCTAAATAATTTCATGTTACTTCAAGCCAAAAAAGTCTAGATAAGCAAGTAAGAGGCATCTACATGTGTGCAATAATTTAGGAGTGTACTGTATGTAATACAATGCCTAGTGTATAAGATATACATAATAAATATTGAAAGAAAATCTGGCTAGGTGGTGGTAATAAGACCAGAAAAGACAGGATAGAAACCAGAGATTTGTGATAAAATAAAACCCCAAAAGATTTGGCAAGTGATGACATAGAAAAAAAAAAGATTGATATGGCATAAATCTTGCGAGGATTCATGCCAGAGAGAACTGAACCAAGAGGTAGACTTCCATCAGTTTTTTTGCAAAATAATTCTATACTAATAACAGTTAAAAATCTAAGAACACAATAAGTAGTGAGAAAACACAGACCAAAATAAACAGTAATGTAAGTAATATATGAAACATCTATGATTTTAAAATATTGGATGCTTTCTATGCATTTGATGGAAAAGCACCTCCCCCTCTCACCCCCTTTTTATCCTTTCCTTTGTATGTACAGGTTAATGTCTCTAGGCACTAGAATGGAAGCTAAAGAGGGCTCTCTTTAAAAGAGAATTTTTTATTTTTAATGCAAAGTCAATTTAGCACTACACAATGCAATTCAAAATGGGGTGTTTCTATTTCAGTAAAGGTGTTGGAAAGACAGTGAGTGGAAGAGACATGGTTGTAAATAGCCCCAGTCACAGTAAGTCATAGCTGAAGGACAGTGTATGCATTTATGGAGGATGGAAAGGACCATTAGTCACACATCCATCTTTTCAGTCACTGAGAGAACAATCTCCATTAGTAACATCATTTTTGAATAATAAGAGAAAATGTATGTATGTCCTTGGAAGTTCAATAAATAGTGACCCTTACACCTGAGAAATTTGTGGGCATCTGGGAAAGTTAATTATCTCTTTTATACCCCACAGTTTTATAGAATATTTTTATATTACTACCATGGTGTATTAAGCTATATCTTGGTGACCATAAAACATAAATAAGAAAAAGCTGAGAGAGAAAATATGTCAAAATCACTTAACATGGTGTCTGTACAAGTCAGCTGCTTAAGATAATAAATTAAGGTAGGAAGAAATGTTTTCCCACAGCATTCCTGAGTTGATGTGTCCAGTGCAAGATGTGCTGGAATCCTGCAGTATAATATCTTGGGTTGCCTCTGGTTTTGATCAGCTCCATGGACCCATGTTCTGGAGGAGCTTAGATTTACCATGTGCTGACAGTGTTCCATTCAAGTTCACGCTGCTCAGATTTGTGTTTTGTATCCAGGGCCTCCTCTCATGCTGTGGAAGCCCACTGAGCCTGGGTACAAGCACAGCCTGGCAATGTGGGATAATTTACATCTTTAGCGGCAACCCTCAAATGGAAGAAGAAGCCAATGAAAACAGACTTCCATCCTTCGGGTGAACAATTCACAGATAGTTCTGGCAAATTCACCTCAGGAAGCTTGTTTATGCCTTCTCGCATTAGCTTTTCTTCCCTCCTTGCCTTTTTTTACTCTTCTTGTTGCCTTATTCCTGATTTTTGCAATCACCTTTCAAATAAAACAACTGCGCCCAGGTCCTTGTCACTAGCTCTGTTTATAAGGGATCCTAAACTAAGATAGTTGGTCATTGTATATTAATCTGACTGATGTTTCTCTGAAGGCATACAGTCAAAATCGAAGGCTACAAACCATAATTTGATTTTTAGTAAAGGTAAAGATTTGGTAAGTACTATACAGAAATACTTAACATACTTCATTTCACCTGCAAAAATGGGTATGTTTTGTTTATACTCTACCTATGTCTATGCAATGCTATAGTTGAATTAAATTTTGCAAAACAAATCTGACATTAGGAATTTCCTGCGTTAGTAAAAATCAACTCTTATCCCTTTATGATATGAGTTTATGTTCATATTACTCATAAGTAGGTGATAATCATCTATATAAATCAACACGATCACTCATTTAATACATTAAAAGGAACATGTTTTTGTAAAGTGAATAAATTGCTTCAAAATAGAAATAATCTTCAGTTTCTCAATTCTGATTTCAATATGACAAATTTCTTAATCTGGGAAGCTATACTTATTCTGAAATGTACATAATCAAGATTTGAACCTTTCTCTTGAAATAAATGGCTCCTAATTTCTTGAAGAATATGTGAACTTAAAAGGACAAAATAGAATTGTCATGAGTTAATTTCACTGCCATTAAAATTCTGTTATTATAAAGCTTATGAAGTCCACCTAGCACACATTTTATAAGCTCCCATTGGTAATATAAATTAGAAGAAAAATGTGCTTAAATAATCTTGCATATATGAAATATATGGAAAATATAAAAAACACTTTAAAGTGTTATTGTTGAAAAATAATTTTTAAACTGTAGTTGATGAAAAACATTTTCTAAAATAAATGATAAAAGTAATTCATAATGAAAGAGAATGCTAGTAACAGATTGTGAATTTTTCAATTTTTATAAAAATATTTATAATTTAATTAAAATTCATATAACTTTATAAAATTAATAATTTTAAAGTGGAAAATTCAGAAGCAATAGGATAGTCACAGTCTTGTGCAATCGCCACCTCTATGCAGTTCCCATTTTCATCATCTCAAAGGTAAACCTGTGCCCAATGAGCAGTTACTCAATTCTTTTGTCTCTGCAGCCCCGACAACCATTAATTTGAGCTTTTTGCCTCAGCAATTTTTTTTTATTTACAGTAATTTCTCACCATTTCTTTAAAGTGGTAAAGTTCTTTAAACTGAAAGTTAAATGAAGTATAATGTTCAAGTAGAAGTCCATATTTCTTACATAAACTCCCTGGGGAGAAATGCATGTTAAGATTTCAGATGTTTTTGGATTTTATAAATGTTATGTATGGGCACATGTATATGAATTAATTTCCTAGTGGAATTTTTTTCATTTAAAAAATATCTTATTTTATTGTGGTAAGAACCCAACATGGGTTCTATTCTCTTAACAATTTTTAGGTGTACAATACAGTATTGTTGACTACATGTACAATGGAGTACAGCAGGTCTCTAGAACTCACTCATCTTTAACTAAAACTTCATGTACATTGATTAGTAATGCCCCATTTCTCTCACCTCAACCCCTGACTATGACTATTTTACTCCAATTCTATGAGTTTAGCTATTTTTAGATACCTCATATAAGTAAAATGCTGCAGTATTTATCTTTCTGTGACTGACTTGTTTCAATTAGCATAATGTCCTCAAGGTTCATCAATGCTGCCTCATGTTGCAGAATTTCCTTCTATTTTAAGGATGAATAATTTTACACTGTATGTACCTACTACATTTTCTTTATCCATTCACCTGTCAACAGACATTTATGTTGTTTCAACATCTTGACTATATTGAATAACACTGCAATGAATATAGGAGTGATGATAATCTCTTTGAGATGGTGATTTCAGTTTTTTTAAATAAATACCCAGATATGGAATTGCTGGATCATATGACATTTCTATTTTTAATTTTCTGAGGAAAAATTAAAAATAGTACCATTTTGCATTTCCTCCAATAGTGCACAACATGAGGTGATATCTCATTGTGGTTTTGATTTGAATTTACCCAATGTTTAGTGATGTTGAGCATCTTTTAATAAACCAATTGCCATTTGTACATCTTCTTTGGAGAAATGCCTTTTCCAGTCCTTAGCCCATTTAAAATATCAGGCTATTAGTTTTATTATCCTATTGAGTTGTAGGGATGTATTGGTCTGTTCTCACACTGCTAATAAAGACATACTTGAGACTGAGTAATTTATACAGGAAAGAGGTTTAATTGACTCACAGTTCCACATGGCTGCGGAGGCCTCACAATCACTGTGGAAGGCAAATGAGGAACAAAGTCACTTATTACGTTGTGCAGGCAAGAGAGCTTGTACAGGGGAACTCCCAATTATAAAACCATCAGATCTTGTGAGACTTATTTACTTTTATGAGAACATCATGGGAAAGACCTATCCCCATGATTCAAATACCTCCCACTGGGTCCCTCCCATGACACATGGGAATTATGAAATCTACAATTCAAGATGAGATTTGGGTGGGGACACAGCCAAACCATATCATAGGAGTTTTTCAGATTGTGGAGATTAACCCCTTATTAGATATATAGCTTGCAAATATTTTCTCTCATTCTGTACATTGCCTTTTCACTCTGTTGATTATTTCCTTTGCTTTACAGAAGCTTTTAGTTTGATGTAGTCTCACTTGTTCATTTTTATTTTTGTTGACTTTACTTTTGGTGTCATATCCATGAAATCACTGCCATGACCAATGTGATACTAAGAGGGAAGTTTATTGTGATAAACACCTACATTAAAAAAGAATAAAGATCTCAAATAAACAACTTAACATTAGACACCAAGGACCTAGAAAAAGAAGAAGAGCCCAAAGCCAGAAGAAAGAAAAAAATTTACAAAGATTAGAGCAGAAATAAACAAAATATAAAACAACAGGAAAAAAATAAAAAAGAAGAGCTGATTCTTTGAAAGGAAACAAAACTGACAAACCCACAGCTGGACTAAGAGAAAAAGAGAGAAGAAAGAAATAAACAAAATCGGAAAAAAAGAGGATACATTACAACTGATGCCACAGAAATAAAAAGGATCATATGACACCATTATGAAGAATTATATGCTAACAAATTAGTTAACATAAAAGAAATGGATAAATTCCTGGAAACATACAACTACCAAGACTAAATTGTGAAAAACTAGAAAGTTTAAACAGACCTATAACTAGCATGGTTATTGAGTCATTAATTTAGAACCTCCCAACCTTTTTTCGATTATACATTCTCTTTTAAATATATTCTCCCTTTGAATAACATCACTGAAAGACAAATATATTAAAGATAAAATTTTCTCTATATATAGAAATTAAAGGAAAACTTAAGTTTTTAAGAGACATAGGAATCTATTAATTTGGAAATATCTCTCATATCAGTTGAAAAGTCTTTCATCTGGTCTGAAAACTTTATTTCAAATTATTAACAACAGATATATTCATAATATGCCAATAGAAGATCAATAGAAAAGTATAATTGTTTGCTTATTTGGAAATATATTTATAAATCCAAAGTGGTCATTAACTAAAAATAAAATAATTATAAATGTCAATTGGAAGTAAGCAGTTACAGATATGAAATGCCAGTTTAGAAGCTACTGATATTTTTAAGGTGACATGTATCCTTACTTTATTCTTGCTTCAAACATCTGAGCTTTTATGCTCAGTCTTCATCAGTCTATGACATAGTTAAAAAACTCAGACTCTTAATTCACAATTTATACATAATTCAATTATATATTTTATTTGGCCAACTTTGGTCAACCACATATGACTTCTGGTACCATGGTATAGATTTTTCCATATTTCTACACTGCCACTAGATACATTCACCTAAATCAACTGTAAAGATATTTCATCCAAAGTGGCTGTAAAAATAATAGCACATTTGTGTGATGTACAAAGGGAAATAAAATTAACTGTCCACAAAATCTTTTAAATCCTATGAGTTTTGGAGTAAATTATAATTTACTATTTACTCTATAATTTTCAATTAAAATACGTTCTATCTATTTTAATTTTCACCCTCTGTTGTTACCTACAACATTATAACATCTTGAAATCATTATTCAGAGAACTTTTTGTTCGTATACATGGATAGTATATATATCAGCTAACCTCTTTCGTCATGGGGATATGAGATCAAATATATTATATTAATTATGTAATAAGGATCTCCAACTTTTCAGAAGGCAAAGTTATATCTAGAGTCAAACAAGACCAAATTAAAGGTAGGGTGGTAGGTGTGGTTCACCCTTGGTAAATGCAGTAAGACAATGCATTGTTGGGAGGGGATTCAAACAAAATTCTAAAACTTATTAAATAGGTCTGCTTTTTATTAACATAATGCGTCAGCATTTTGGAATAATGTCAGTTAAAAAATACATTCCTCCACCCCATCAGTTCTAAATAATTGCAGAAATTACTATTGATATCTATCTATTTATCCACCCATATATCTATTTATCTATCTAAACCTATATACTTAAAATGGGCCACATTAGTGCAGTGTTTATTTCTTATCATCTAATACACATTGTATTCTACATCAAAATTAATTTAAAAATTTTTCAGTTTTAATGTTGGCCCACGGCACACACAGACTGAGATACACATGTTCATTTCAAGAGACAGTTGTAATGATTGGAAGTTTTTTGACATCACTTCAGTCATAGTCTATGTCTTTATCCTTGTGATAGTAGATATCACATATGACTGTGTTTGAATATTCTATTCAAAATAAGCAACAATATCTCAGTGATTGTAAAGACTAAAAACTGAATTTTAGTTACTTCAATTCTATTATTTGACGTAACTGCCTGAAATTTTTATTCATATTTAAAATTTGATAGGTGAAAATTTTAGCTCATACATAAAATATGTTACTCAGTTTGGATATTTTCAAAAAATAAATTATGTTCTTCATTTTCAGTTGTCAGTTGCTTTTTTAAAACTAAAAAATGAGTCCAGAAAATAATGATTATTAATGATTATCACATGGTTATTATGAAAATTAGTTTTGTCATTTAGATGATGGTGGTGGGAAAGAAATGATACAACCCAAGTTCAAATGCACTATGTATGCCACTGTTAACAAACTTACTAAACTAGATAGACACAACACTAGATAAGGCTATGAGATGTTCTCTCAACCTTTCTACTTATCGCCACATATACTGAGGTACAATGATGGCATAAAAGTAATTTCAAAAAGATACATCAATATTTTTAACAGAAATTTGAACAAACAGAAATTCTAATCATAATTAACAATGGACATTATATTATAACAATTTTATCTTTAGTCTTTGGCAGATTAAAAGTGCTCTTTCATTTACAAAATGACTATGTAAAGAAACAAATTTAGGTAAAGAATAGTAATAGTGTCTGATTTCATTTTTAATACTTGACTACTGCCAGCTTCTAAGCCCTACCATTCCTGCCCCCATTCTGCCCCACAGCTGGGCAAGCTATTTAAAAAAGCTCAGGTACTCTCTACCTTAATGCTGGTGAGTTCAAATCATGCAATCCTTGTCCTATTAAGAGGAACCTTCACGGCCGGTCGCGGTGGCTCAAGCCTGTAATCCCAGCACTTTGGGAGGCCGAGGCGGGCGGATCACGAGGTCAGGAGATGGAGACCATCCTGGCCAAAATGGTGAAACCCCGTCTCTACTAAAAATACAAAAAAATTAGCCAGGCGTTGTGGCAGACGCCTGTAGTCCCAGCTATTCAGGAGGCTGAGGCAGGAGAATGGCGTGAACCCAGGAGGTAGAGCTTGCAGTGAGCCGAGATCGCGTCACTGCACTCCAGTCTGGGCGACAGAGCGAGACTCCGTCTCAGAAAAAAAAAAAAAAAAAAAAAAAAAAAAAAAAAAAAAAAGAGGTACCTTCACTCAGACCCATTCCTTAACTACCATCAACTCCATGCTAGTTCCTGATCTCTTCAGTCACTTTTGAATCTGCTTGGCAGCCTGCCTTCTCTCCCAAGAATCATTATGTGAGTCATAATTCTTTCCTACTCCCTTTAATGTATGTGGTATCTTCAGTTTAGACATCCAAACTAAATGTTAAGTGGAGGTTTCATTCCACCTCTGGGAAGGGTACAACGTGGCTGTTCTCCCAATGTAGGGCATACACTGAAGTGCAGTCAATATGAGGAACTATGGAAATATGAAAGAACCACTCCCCTGACCCCAAAACATTAAATGTTGGATATATTATCCACACAACAAACATTTTATGCCTAGTTGAACTCAAATCCAAAGCATAATAACCTAAAAATTATATAAATAAAAAATATGAAAAATTAAGTAAAATTTGAAGGTTAAATGGCCCATGGGGGTAATGTACACAAAATATAAGCAGCACAAGCTGGTGACTGGAGTTTTTCAACTTGCTAAAAGAAGAGAATCTAATCCTCAATCCTTTATGTCTATGAAGAATAGCAACAAAAATACCTGAATAAAACTGGACATCATAAAATCCTACATCAGCCATGAAATAGAACTAGGAAAGTTCATATCTCCTAGAACATTGTAGGAGAGCTTAGAGTAGTACATCATGAGCCATGGGTGGATTATATCATACACAAATATTTGGTCAAAACACACCCATCTCAAATTATCCTGGAGACCTTAATCTAAGAAAGTAAGATAAAGTCTCTTTCCCCAAACCTACAGAATACTACTTTAGGTATTCTGAGTCTTCTACTTTTTAAATGAAACATAGGAAGGTAAAAATATTTTTTAAAATAAAGCCCATATATATTTAATAAGAATACAGGGCATAGTCTTGTAATAACAGTTCTGCAGTTCAGGTCATGGAAAATACACTTTTTAAACAAATAGCAACGAAGAATGTATCATGGGAATATCAAGCACACACAAAGGTACTAGGCACAAAGAGAAAGTGTCAATTGTTTTAACTAACCAAAAAACTTGCATCAGAAAACTGAAAATCTAAAAGACATTTTTGACAAGTCTGCTGAAAATATTCAAAGGGGAGAAAAAAAGAAAAATCAAGGTGTTGTATGAAAATAATGGTCATATTTTTTAATTAAAATAATGTAAAAATCAGAGCATAATCAAGTAAATAAAATAAAGTAGAGGGGTTATAGAGTTGATAATACCAGCCTGAAGAGTAAAATATTGCCATAGATACATGTAAGAAACAATTTTAAATGAAATACAGATATATAAAAAGATAAAAATATCTATCAGATATTTCGTAAGAATTCACGGAAAAAATAATGACAAGAGCACTGTTTGAAAAGTTGAGAACTTTTTAGAATTGAGAAATTAGATAAGTCCTCATGTTGATGAATCAAAACAGATGCATACAAACACTTCATGTGTTATAGCCACCAAGCATCAAAGTAAGAAAGAAATCCTAAATTAAATTGGGCATTAGTAATTACCAACTAAGCAATAATAATTATACAAACAGTCATTATAAAATCAGGTAAAGTAGAAATTAGACATGATGGATCTTATTTTTAAGCAGTGAGAAAGAAGAAATTGTAACATAAACTTTTATTACTAGCTGAATTATCATTATGAAACAGCCACCAAAAAAAAAAGTTGCTAATCATAGATACTCAGTAAAACATAGGCTAACCCATTTTTTCCACCAGGAAAGAAGTTGAACTCACAAAGAAATAGAGGCAATTTTAGGTATGCTAGAAAGTCTAAATAAGTGCTAAATATAAAACTAATTTGGGGAATCAAAATATAATAAATTAAAATATTGAACAATAACATTGAAGACAGAAGGTCAAAAACAGAGTTATAAAATCTTGAAGCTTTTGACTATTATGAAATAGGTTAGTAATGAGTAGCGTTATACATTTTTAGATTTACATGTTAAAACATATAAAGGTTAAACCATGTAAGACTTACCATTATAAGCAGAGAAATTAAATATTTAAATTCAAAATGAGTAGAACTTAAAAAAAAAAAGGAGGGTATTTATAAAATTGATCAATCTAGTGGTATTTTAAGTGAAGGAAAAAAGTGAAAGAAAATAAATGAAGACAAATATATGAATAACCACAATAAATGTAAATTAAATAAGCTTTCCTATTCAAAAAAACAGGAATTATTATATAAGCTGGAACAACAACCAAACAAATCAGACTATATGCTGTTCAGAGAGACACAGAACAAAAAACATAGGATAGTCTGAAAACAGTAGATGGAGAAAATATACCAAGACCATGCATACCTAAAGAAAGATAATTTAGAAACATTAATATTAAATTGAATTCAATTTAATTCAAAAGCTTTAATAGATATGAAAGTTAATACAAAATGATAGTTATTAAAATGAAAATGATAATTCATTACAAAATAATAAATAATTTCAGTGAGAATATTTGGCAAAAACTCCAATTTTATATACATGTAAAATATATAATATATATGCACATTTAAATATATATGCATATACATGCACATTTATAATATATATATGTATATTATACATAACATGGTGGAAAGGAGCAGAGCAAGCTCTGGTTCCTTCATTTCCTTGTAAGGACACCAATCTCTTCATGGGGGCTTTAGCCTCATGATCTAATTCAAATCCTATTACCTTCCCAAGGCCTCACCTCCAAATGCCACCATGTTACAGCCTCAACGTATGAATTGTGAGTTGAAAGGAAAAATTTTAAAAATAACCATAATACATAGTTATGTTAATTCAATGCACTTCTTTCAGAAGCTAAATTTCAAGAAGGTTGTTTATTTTCTATTTGTTTGGTGAAAGTTACATTGCAAATGAACCAATCACAAACATTGACTAAATGTGAGTATACAAGTCACCACCACCACCATCACTATGAATCACAAAAATATACCAAATTGATATATGCAATAGGTTCTCTGACTATAATGCAATTAAGTTAAAGAGCAACCATAGTCTCCCATATTTTAGGGAAAATACTTTCAAATAACTTGTGGGTTACAAAGCAAGCTACAAGAAATATTTAAGATTATTATATATACAATTCTAATACTTTTTAATAAATAAATGTGGGATGCCGGTAAAGTTTTACTTAGAGGAACTCATGACTTTAGATGATTTGCTAACAAATAAGAATAACAAGAAATCAGAAAATCAATGAGGTAATTATTCAACTCAAAAAGCTAGAATGATACAAACTAAAATAATGAGGAAAGTTTCACCCACATTTGGTCTACCCCAGTAGCAGTGGCACTGGAAATTTGAGAATTAGTGTAGTTGTCTTTTTTTTTTTCAATTGTGGTGTGGTGTTCTATTGACATTTAATGTCAATGGGGCAAGGATACAAAATGTCCTACAATGCACTGGATAATTCTCTGTAACAAAGAAAGGTCTAACCCAAAATGCTAAGAGACTTTCCATTAAAAAATATTTAATGATGATCAAAGTTTATTTTAAACTGTAAAAATTCTAAATTTGACAACATTATGCAATGGGAATTCTCATATCCTGCTTGCAGGAATATAAATGAGTAAAACCATTTGAAGAGCAATTTCACAATTTCTGATAAAGCTGAAGATGTGCACTTCCCCTACTCATCCTGTGACTCACTCCAATCTCCACTTACGGGTATATTGTCTAGAGCAGCCCTCACACATGTGTGCCAGGAAACACCAAGGTGTTTATGGCAGCATTGTTTGAAATAGTTAAAATATGGAAATCCTAGGCATATGCTAATAGAAGAATAGGGTCAACAGAATATGGCAGATTCACATAGTGGAATACGGTAGGCCAGTATAAACAAATGTAATTATTTTATATGTAGACCCCGAATGGAGAAAGCAACTTGCAGAATAATTCAGGGAAAAAGGCCATAAAATCAATACACATATAATTCTATATATAATTCATAGATATATATGTAGTAAAATATGAAATTATGAACAAGAAGTATAACCATCCAATTTATTATAGTGGCTATGTCTAGGGGGGAGGGGGAAGGGATATGAAACTAGAGCACATATGACTTCAACTCCATTTGTTATTTTACTATCCTTGAAGAAAGCAAATATGACAAAGTGTTAATTATCTTAGTTCAGGCTGCTTTAACAAATACACCGTAGACTCTGGCTTATACAATAAACACTAATTTCTCACAGTTCTAGAGGTTGAGAACTCCAATATCAAGAAGACTCTGGTAGAGTCCATGTCTGGTAAGGGTCTGCTTCCTGGTTAATAGACAGCCATCTTTTCACTGTATTTGAACATGGCAGAAGGGAGCAGAGCAAGCTCTGGTTCCTTTATTCCCTTACAAGGGCACCAATCCCATCATGGGGGCTTTACCTTCATGATCTAATTTAAATCCAATTACATTCCCAAGGCCCCACCTCCAACTACCACCATGTTACAGCCTCAACATATGAATTTTGGGGTGACGGGGAATGAGAACACAAACATTCAGTCCATAAAAACCTTTGTTAATTTGTCTGGTCCTTACATTTATGAATATTATTCTCTGTAACATGGTCTATGGTTTGAAATAAAAATTTTCATTAGTCATCTCAGCTCATTGAATTTAAATTTATAGGAATTGTATATTACATATTAGAGTCTGCACTAAAATAAGATCTTTATGTTACAGAGTCTCTGCACCGTGCACTATACTATACTGTCCCTTTCATGTTTCCACTAATTCCTAAATATTCTTCCTGGTAGCGACATTTTGAACATTATTAGTTCATATGTTTGAAAATGTTTTCAGTTAACATGTCACCTGTAGGCTAAATTAACCTTTATTTTTTTAACTCTGAAACACCAAGGCTTTTTCGCCTAAATGTTGTTTCTTTTTTCTCCTTTTCTTTATTGTCTCAAAGTCCTAAGTTCTGTAAAACTTATTGTAAATTGAATTTTACTGTTTACCTATTGTATTAGTCCATTCTCATGCTGCTATGAAGAAACAAATGAGGCTGAATAATTTATAAAGAAAAGAGCTTTAATTGACTTACACTTCCACATGGCTGGGAGGTGTCAGGAAACTTACAATATTGGTGGAAGGCACCTCTCTGCAGGGTGGCAGGAGAGAGAACAAGTGCAAGCAGGGGAATTGCCAGACACTTATAAAACCATGAGATCTCGTGAGAACTCACTCATTATCAGGAGAACAGCATGGGGAAATTGCTCCCATGATTCAATTACCTCCACCTGGTCCCACCCTTGACTCCTGGGGATTATGGGGATTACAATTCAAGGTAATATTTGGGTGGGGACATAGCCAAACCATATCATTCTGCCCCTAGCCCCACCCAAATCTCATGTCCTCGAATTTTAAAACACAATCATGCCTTTTCAACAGTCCTCCCAAAGTCTTAATTCAGTCCAGCATTAATCCAAAAGTCCAAGTCCGAAGTCTCATCTAAGACTTCTGACGAGAGTCTGTAAAATCAAAAGCAAGTTGATTACTTCCTAGATACAATGGGGGTACAGGCATTGTAAATGGTTGTAAATACAACCATTCCAAATAGGAGAAATTGGCCAAAACTATGGGGTACAGTCCCAGTGCAAGTCCAAAATCCAACAGGGCAGTCATTAAACCTTAAAGTTCCAAAATGATTTTCTTTGATTCTGTTTCTCAAATCCAGGTCATGCTAATGCAAGATGTGAGCTCCCTGGACATCATTGTCCATATCACTATCAGCATTTTGGTCAAAGCCTTTCAACAAGTCTCTAGAAAGTTCCAAAGTTTCTCCTATCTTCTTGTCTTCTGAACCCTCCAAGTCTCTAGGAAGTTCCAAACTTTCCCACATTTTCCTGTCTTCTTCTGAGCCCTCCAAACAGTTCCAACCTTTGCCTGTTACCCAGTTCCAAAGTCAATTCCACATTTTTGTGTATTTTTATAGCTGCACCCCACTCTCTGTGGAAGCAAATTACTGTATTACTCTGTTCTCATGCTGCTATGAAGAAATACCCACGACTGGGTAATTTATAAAGAAAAGAGCTTATATTGACTCATAGTTCCACATGGCGGGGGAGGCCTCAGGAAACTTATAATCTTGGTAAAAGGCACCTCTTCACAGGGTTGCAGGAGAGAGAATGAGTGCAAGCAGGGTAAATGCCAAACTGTTTTAAAACCATCAGATCTCAGGAAACCCACTCATTATCATGAGAACAATGCGGTACCACCTTACTCCTTCAAGAATGGCCATAATCAAAATATCAAAAATAAGTAGATGTTGGCATGGATGCGGTGAACAGGGAACACTTCCACAGTGCTGGTGGGAATGTAAATTAGTACAACCACTATTGAAAACAGTGTGGAGATTCCTCAAAGAACTAAAAGAAGAACTACCATTTGATCCAGCAACACCACTACTGGGTATCTACTGAGAGGAAAAGAAGTCACTACACAAAAAAGATACTTGCACAGGCATGTTTATAGCAGCACAATTCACAATTGCAAAAACATGGAACCAACCCAAATGCCCATCAATCAACAAGTGGATAAAGAAACTGTGGTACATTAATATGATGGAATATTACTAAGCCATAAAAAGAAATGAATTATGGCAATCACAGTGAACTGAATGAGATTGGAGACTATTATTCTAAGTGAAGTAACTCAGGAATAGAAAACCAGACATCGTATATTCTCACTCATAAGTGGCGGCTAAGCTATTAGGATGCAAAGGCACAAGAATGACACAATGGACTTTGAGGTCATAGGGGGAAAGGGTGGGAAGGCGGCAAGGGATAAAAGACTACAAATAGGGTGCAGCGTATACTGCTCAGGTGATGGGTGCAACAAAATCTCACAAATCACCACTAAAGAACTTATGTAACCAAATACCACCTATTCCCCAGTAACTTATGGAAATAAAAAAATTTTTAAAAGTAAATAAAAATAAAAAATAAATAAATATAATAAAATGTTGGCCTTCTAACTGACTTTTTTGTGGAAGGCTTTTTTCAATAGAAAAGAAAAAAAGCAATTTTAAAGGATTGCCTTTCTCTTGAACTTTAGAAAATTTCAGAATTATTAGGAGGGTGGAAAGGTGATTTTATTTTTGTTTTTCAAGTACTCATGTGTTTTATTCCCTAGGGTAGCTTCTCAATATATTTGAGAAAGCAACCAGAAACAAAGTAGTCCCTAGAGATGATATAAACCCAAGAGGAAACCAGTGACATTTTTCAAAATAAGTGCAATGTGACTTTTTTTTTTAAATACAACATAAAAAAGGCTAAAGCATTCTTTTCTGTCTTGGCCCTTTCCTCTGCTTGATTGGTCATAAATGATGATGTAATTCATCATCTTCACTTCAGCTGTTAGGATTAAACCTTTCAGAAATGCTGACAGGACCAGGAGGACATCTTTTCCCCTTTGTCTCGTCTAAAACTCAGTCATGGCTAATTTACCTATGGTGAAATAAGTGAACAGAAAATTCTAAAGGGACCTTGCTTCATACAAAGTGTACTGTTTACTCCTTCCAGATGCCAAAACTTATTAAAGTAAACCATCATCAATTCACAATGATGAAATCATGAAGGAGCAGTGTACACGTAACTTTAAAAATCATGCTTGTTCCAGAAGAGATTGCCTCCCTCAGGAAGACTGCTTTTGATTAGAACCACACCAGAAAAACACATTGTGACTTTGTCATTTGGGAACAGCTGTGATGTTCTTTTCCTTCTTTTTGTTTTTTAAGGGAAGATAATTATATAATGTACGCAATGCTATTATGACCTGAAATAGTGAATCTCCTATTTTTGTTTCAGTTTATTGTCCCACGAGCATGAATTTATATCTTTTATCAGTTTGAAAATGGCTGTCATCCTGGGCAACATCAGCTTTGACCTAAAGCCTCTTGTATTAATTTTTCAAGTATATTTGAATTTTGAGCTATTAACTATTCAAAATAGATGGAGCAAGGAGTAACCTAAAGGTAACAGGGATAGCATGTAGAACATTAAATACATTTTCCGAGAGACACAAAGATTAAATAATGAAGTGGGTAGCATGTTCCTACATAGAAAGGCAGAATATTATAAAGAAATATGTTCTTTTAGAATGAATTTATTCAGTGAAGCAAATTTTCTTTTATAATTTGACAAAATTATTTTTAAGTTCATATTGAATAAGAACAAAATTCTAAAAACTGGAGAAAAATTTAAAAATAAAAACAATCTAGAAGAGATTCCATCAGATGTTAAAATGCTGCGATTAGGTTCAGTCTGAAGACTGAACAGAATAAATACTATTAAATGAGAGAAAAACCTAAAACACAATTATATAAAATTTTAAACATAATAAAAGAAACTCATTAATCAATGGATTTGGAATAAAAATAATTAGAGTACTTTATTAACTCTATTTTAAACAAATACATTTAGATCCCATATCAGACCATATCAAATTAAGTTTCAGCTGGATTGAAGTGCTCAGTGAATGATATAAACTCTAAAAACTTAGAAGAAATATATCTACCCTTTTGGTCACAGGGAGGATTATTCTTAGTGTGAAATTAGCAAGAGAAGACAAAAAGGAAAAACAAATGGAATGCATAATCCCTGTGAGAAATTTTAAAAATTATAGTCAGCGACAGCAATAGTTGAGAGGTCAGAAGACAGCGGTGATAAGGGAATCTGAGGAGGGGTGTATATCCAATACAATAGCTTTCCCTTATGTGCTTTAATGTGTTGTAATTTCTTCCATTAAAACATAAATTAAACTGCAGAGCAAAACAACAACAACAAATCCAGTGAGCCCTCATTCTTCCTATCTGTCATGGTTTCTCCCTTTTAGGGTGAACATTCTCAAAAGAATTATCCATCGTCGCTGAGATGCCTCTAAAATCTCAATTTCCTTCCAGTAATTACTCAGGACTTATTTTATCATTCTTTGAAAAAGTACATTGAGAGTTCTAATCTGTTGATTCTATCTCTTTCACTGTTTCCCCCTTTGGTCCTTGCATTCGTCTTTTCAGCTTGGATTCCATTTTAAAAATCACTTTGGCATCCTTTCTCTGTTCTTTTATCACCAATGTTTGGCACAGCTAACCACTCCCTCTTTTTTCTTCACCCTCTCTTTTCCTTGCTTCATTGATTATTTCCCTTGGTTTTGCTCCAGCCTCACTGGTTATTTTATCTTTGTCTGATTTTCAGGTTTCCTCTCTTCTGCTGAATGTCTAAACCCTGTCACGCTGCAGGGCTTTGTCCTGACGCACAGTCAGGGTTGAAAACTATTTTTCTACGTGAAACAGCTGTATCTCCTGCCTGTCTCCACTGCCTGTAGCCTTGTTTTTCACACTAGCCACATGCTGTTATTTTGGTTTCTCAGAAATGACAATATTTGATCTTTCTCAGGGCTTTTGCACTAGCTGTCCAGGAAATCTTTTATTCCCAGATCCTCAAAAGGATCTTTTTGTTTTTTTTTTTCTGTACTTTAGGTCTAAAGTTAAAATATCATCAGGGAGGACTTTGCCAACCATTTATCCATAAGATCCTTCTATTTCAACTACATTTTCCTATTTATTTGTCGTCTTGGTATTTGAAAGAGTCTTATCTCCTTATCTGTTGTTCCACTAGACTGGGATCTTTCTCTTTCTATTGGAAGACCAGCTGTTGAGAACAGTGCCTTGTCTGTCTCGCTCACTAGTGTGTATGAAGGAACCATAACAAGGCCTTACTCTCGGTAGGCATACAATGACTATCTTTTAATGAATAGCACTAAAACAACATTAGAAGATATTTTTACTGGTCAAATAACCTACTATTAAAAAAAAAAGAAAATTCCAGGAATGTTTTGCGGGTGTGAGAATTGTGCGATAGCCACTCTCATACTTGAAGCTGGATTATAACTCCTTTAAAAAAGCATTTTGGCAATACACAGCACTTAAAACATATGTGTGCCCCTTGATCAATGATACATAATAACCAATTAATTAATTAATGATTGACTTTTCACAGTATAGCAATGTATGCTTATAACAGTTATATTTTACTTATGGCCAAAAAGTTAAGGGATACATCATACAATTGCACTTAGCTTGCTCTATAATGTCTTTACTTGTGGTTTAGTGATGTTTACATGTTTTAATCAACAATTACATTGATGTCTGTCAATTAAAATGGCAAAATTTTTAAACAAATGGCAAGATTTCAGCTGAAACACACCTTACATTCCTCACAGTAGATAATTACTGTAATCCTTTCTACGATCATTCCCCAGAGAAAAAATATAAAACATTATGTGTTAGTATTATTCTGGCATTATAGGAAAAATGGAAATTGACTCTTGTCTCAATGGACACTCCAGTACCAAATATCTTAGCTTGGCATGTAAATATAAAATATATAAATGCAGATATAAATTTGAAGGGCAATACAGATAACTATGTAATCAATATGTTTACAAATATCTGAAGCCATTAGCTAAAAACAGTATTTAAACTATTTACAATTTAAATTTCATAGTTCCTTTTCTCTTTTCTCTTTAAATATTTCTATTTAATAGGATGTGGTAAATTTTTTATATATATTTAAACTTAAATATAATAATATATATCTCATTCGTAAATAAATCAAATAAATTGGGATTCAAATAGAAATGAGAAATGAAAGACTTCTAAACAACAAATTTACATTAACGTACTAAGGAAATAAATCATCTAAGACTGCCATAAACATACCACATTTGGTAGGAAAAAAGGGACTCAACAAAGGCGTTCATTTTAAGTGATATGTACAGTGATCACCAACACCAATATACTACGATACTTTAGACAAGTTACGTCACTTCTCTTGTGTCTCTGTAGGCGATGTTGCAATAAATAGCAAGTAAAAATGGTTGTTAGGGATTTTAGATATATAAAGGGCTACGTTAAGACTTAACAAGCATGAAGAAAAATGGGAGATGCTGTTTGCTTTTAAATATAATCTATCAACACGTATTATAGTTCTACTATTTCTTCGTAAACAATTCCTGAATATAGATTTAAAATTAGCAGAAGCCTTTTACATATCTATTTATAGCAATTGAATTTACTCAAGTCGTATAAGTTGAAACTATACTTAAAATTAATCTTATATCTTTTTACAATAGAAATACAAATTCAAGACACAATATTAATATCAGCACCTGACTGTTGGTGCTCTTTATTAGTTCAGCCATTGAGTCACTGTGAATTCTTCTGTATGATTTAGACATACTCTTGGTTTATTAAGAGTTTTTATCAAGAATAGATATTGATTTTTAAAAGTGCATTTTACTTGAATCTTTTAAAGAGTTCCTGTGGTTTTTTTCCCTTGAATTTGTTAATATGGTGAAGCATAATGCTAGCTTTTACAAAGACAAATATCCTTGTATTACTGGGATAAACCCAATTTCATCATGTTATTACTATACATGATATATATATTTAATATATATACATATAGCTACATTTAATTTGCTAATACTTTATGTAATATTTTAGCATATACAATCATTGCTAAAATTTATCCATACTTTTTCTCTAATGGATAGTTTTTGCTTGATTATAGTATTGAGGTTATAATACTATCTTAAAATGTTGGAGGTATGTTCTGAGTATGGTGTGGCTTTTTTTTCCTCTGGAATAAGTTAAAATTTTGAATGATCTATTCCTGAATACCTTTAAAATTGTATGAGTTAAAACTTTTTTCTTTGTGGAAAGATTTTAAGCTAATTTATGGGTATAATACCATTTATTGTTTCAGTTTCTTCTTGAACCAGTTTTATTATATTTAGTTTTTCTATAAATTTATCTACATTTTTGACATTTTAAACTGTATTTACACAGAATTATTTATGATAGTCTCTTATTTTGTTAAATATTTGCAATATATTTGTAGTGATTATTACATCTTATATTCCTATGTCAACACTTTTTCATTTTCTTTTTTTAAAATTTAGCTCTCCAAATTTATAGTTTTTCTCTCATTTTGGAAGTTATACTCAATTTCTACAGTTTCTTGTGCTTATTGCTCATTTTAAGGTATACATCATACAATTGTATTCCTTATTATTTCCTCATTTTATTTTTTTCACATATTATTTTTTTCACATTTTTTAATTCACATCTTAAGTGGCTTAAGTGGTTAATTCCTTAATTTGTAGGTTTATTTGTTTTAAATAAAAGCCCTTAAGTCCTCTAAGGACTTTTAGCTGCATGTCACATGTTTTGATATGTAATATTCATTATCATTCTGTTTCATGTGTTCTCTAATTTCTGCTATGTTGACTCCATTAACACACAAGCTATTAGATATATAGGTTTTTATAGTTTTGTGTATTTTTAAATTATTAATGCCTCTTTTTATTATATTTTAGTCAGTTAATGTTCTCTGTATAAAGCCAATGCTTTGAAATTTGCTGACACAGGTCCTACAACTATGTTCTATTACATGTCATTTAACATAAATGTTTCATGTGAGCTTGAGATGGATTACTGGGTGCAGTGTTTTATGTAAGGCTATTATATTAAGCATATAATTTGTGTGGTTCAAGTATTCTATAACCTTACCTCCTTACAGATTTTGTGTGTATTTGGTTATAACAATTAGAGGAAGAGATGTGTTAACGTCTTCTACCATGAGCATGGATTTATCAATGTTTCCTTTAATTATGTCACAATTTTTAATGTATTTATTAGTTGTATACAGGTTAGAACTGTAATTTGTTTTCCCAGTAGACTGTAAGAAGTTTTACACTAGAAAGTTAAGTCTTATGAGGGTAGGGCTTTGCATTTACTTTTTCATTGTCATATGTCCAGTATTAAGAACTATGCCATGTGTATAATAGCTTTGTCACAAATATTAATTGACTAATAAAAGGACCGTCTTGGTGAGGTAAATGTTTATCATTAGATGGTAACTTAAAAAAAATAGCAATTATTTTTTCCTTAAAGTCTACTTATCTGGTTTTAATACAGTGATAAAAGATTTTCTTAGTAATGACTGATATTTCTATTTTCATCCTTTTTCTCTCAATTTTTAGTGTTAAGTATGTTTATTGTAAACAGCACATCATTTTATCCATACAGCTGAAACTCTCCCAACTAAACAGAGCATTCATTGTAATGTCACATATGTGCATTTTTTTACTATTTTATTTATTATATTTTCTTCCCTATTTTTCTGCCTTCTTAATTAATTTCATTTTGTTGATTTTCCCCCCATACTGCTTATCTCCATATTATTTTGAAAGTTATGCATTCTGTGGGTTTTTTTTAGTGATTACCATAGACATTTATGTGCATATCTATCATAACAAAGACTGAGCTTGAATAATATGCTTACTGTTCTTCTGAACTTAAAGGAAATCTACAGTGTTTAAATTTGGATTATCACCTCACACTCAGATTTTTGCTGGTGCATTTTGTCATTTTGATTATATGGGTTTTTTTAACCTCACTAAAAAAAAATCACTATTCTTATTTTCAGTTAATATTTCTTTAGACTTATACTGATGTTTACTTTTTTTCCCTTGCCATTCCTTCTTTCATTTCACATTCCTCTTCAGATTATTTTTCATTTTCTTAACATATATCTTTTAGGATTTCCTATGGTAAGGGCCTATTTATGCTAAACACTGTCAGTGTTCATTTTTCTTAAACCACCTTTACTTCATCCTCATCTTCCAAAATTATTTTTACTGGGTAAAAAATTTAAGTTATTAGGTTGGTGCAAAAGTTATTGTGGTTTTTGCCATTACTTTCAATGCAAAGTTAATGCTATTAGATAAGTGCAAAAGCAATTGCAGTTTTTGCCATTACTTTCAAAGGCAAAAACTGCAATTACTTTTGCGACAATCTAATAGCACTAACTTTCTCTAGGATTTTAAAGAAATTATTCCAGTGTATCCTGACTTCCATGTTTGCCATTGGGAAATTCACCATCAGCATAATTATTGTAATTTGTGTTTTTGCTCTGCTATTTGGAATATATTATTTGTTTTAAGCTTCCTATATACAATACGTTAGTGCTAAATGAACTAACTACAGAAAATCCAAGGTTTCAAGTTGTGTTCTGCATCCCCAAGAAGCAGTTATTCCTGTCCTTAAAGAAAGTAGTAGCAGTTTCTTTTTTTTTTTTGACATGGAGTCTCACTCTGTTGCCCAGGGTGGAGTGCAGTGGTACGATCTTGGCTCACTGCAACCTCCACCTCCTGGGTTCAAGTGATTCTCCTGCCTCAGCCCCCTGAGTAGCTGGGATTACTGGCATGTGCCACCAAGTCCAGCTAATTTTTGTATTTTTAGAGAGATGGGGTTTCACCCTGTTGGCCAGGCTGGTCTTGAACTCCTGGCTTCAAGTGATCCGTGACCCACTCCCCACCCCCCACTCAGCCTCCCAAAGTGTTGGGATTACAGGTGTGAGCCACCATGCCCAGCCTCCTTTTTTTCAATAATGCAAGGCTAGAAATTGGACATAAGAATTACAGCCCCCCGGGATCTCTCGGTCATTCTATCTGGTGGGTGAAGATCTGATGGTCTTCACAGCTTGATATTCATGAATCACCCTAGTGCTAGGCTCACTGGATGTTAGCCCTTGTCCTCTGCCAAAATTGCTCTTCCTAAACCTCTGCAGTGGTGTGTTCTAACGATAAATCAATGTCTCTTTCTCTGCTTCTTGTCACAGTACCCTACTGAAATTCCTCTGGCTTCTTTCAGTCACTGGAACTGCAGTAGTTTTAAACTCTGCTTGATTGCATGTCCCAGAGCATTGAAAAATCCTTAGGATATCTGAGGCCAGCTGTCTGATCTAAGCAGAAGCTATGAACAAATATGAGCAGATCTGAGATTTATCTCTTTTCTCCATCCAAAAAAAGTATAGATAATAACTTGAGTAAAAATAAAACTTCCCAATTTGCAAATTTACATTGAATATTTAATACCATATAAATCATTTTTTTCAGTCTCATTCTCTCCTTAAATTGCAGTTCTTAATTTAGCATTGGAACCAGGATAGTTCTTGAATCTTTGATTAAGTACTAAGAGCCACATGACTCATGTCTTAGGAATGTATGTGCTTTAATACTATTGTCCAACCCTTAGGAAGTCATGATAAATATATATCCTAATTCAGTCTTAAACTGATGAGTTTAATCTGTGATGCCCTGCTAATTTGTACCTATGGTACAACTATAATTTCCAACTATAATTTGGAAATCTCTCAAATGTGATTCTAAAATAACCATAGGTTCTATTGTGGTTCAATCTCTGTTTGATGTCACATTCAAAGAATTAACTCTTCAACTCCAGAAGCCTATAGTTTTTATTTAAAAATGTGCTTCACATAGAATATCTTCCTTAAAGTCTTTAATTTATTCAGGAAAGTACCTTTTAGAAAGAACGTCTTTGAAGTATGTAAAATTGATTCTATGGGGAATAAATTTTGAGTGTCAAACAATGACTAACACATTTTTGAATGAGAGATTATTTCTACTTTAAGAATTATGTGAACTTTCAATTTAAGTAGAATAAGACATGGTGTCTTTTCACAATATTAGAGCTTTGTGAAAGAAAAAACAAAAACCAACAGTAATAGTACCTGATAAGTGGTATTGTATTTATTTTTTCACAGAGTTTTACAGAAAATCAAAAAAGAAATTTTAAAAGGGCTTGAGATTATAGAATTTTTCTTAGAAGGAAAGATGCTTAAACTAAGATTTAAAAGATGATGGAGAATGATTAGATGGAAGAAGGCAGAGTGGTCTTTTCAGGGAGACAGAGCAGGCTGGAGAGAAGCATAGCCATTTGAAACAGCATGATTGTTTTCAAGTTATAAACACTATAACACGGCTAGAGTGGAGAATGCTTGCAACTCTTGAGTGGCAAGAGATAGGGTAAAACAATAAACAGGAATCATATTCTAGGGGGCTTCTTCTAATTAGCTAAAAAATTTATTTATTCATTTAATTTATCTTATTTTTTTTTTAGACAGAGTTTCACTCTGTTGCCCAGGCTGGAGTGCAGTGGTGTGGTCTCAGCTCACAGTAACCTCCATCTCCCGGGTTCAACGGATTCTCCTGCCTCAGCCTCCTGAGTAGCTGAGATTACAGGTGCCCGCCACCACATCCAGCTAATTTTTGTATTTTAAGTAGAGACATGGTTTCACCATGTTGGCCAGGCTGGTCTCAAACTCTTGACCTCAAGTGATCTGCCTACCTCGGCTTCCCAAAGTGCTGGGATTACAGGTGTGAGCCCCACGCCCGTCAGAGCTAAGAAATTTAAACACTACCTTTGACTGCATTAATCACTTTAAATTAAGAGAGTGACATACTATTTGCATTTTAGAGCGAAATCATTTGGTTAGCATTATGAGGCATGAAACTTGGTTGTTGGGATGAGAACTGTTGAGCCCAGGAGAAAAAAGGCAGAGGAAGGAGGTAAGAATGATTCTAAAGTTTCCATGCAAATATAAATGGGATCTACCAAAGGAGCTAGGGAATCATGCTTTCAAGTATGAGGGATCCCAAAATCATCCCAGAATATCTTTGCAGTAATGTTTTTAATCTGAATTATTGAAATATTTCACAATAAGAAGCTTCCCAGATTAGCCGGGCGTGGTGGCAGGTGCCTGTAGTCCCAGCTACTCGGGAGGCTGAGGCAGGAGAATGGCGTGAACCCGGGAGGCAGAGCTTGCAGTGAGCCGAGATTGCGCCACTGGACTCCAGCCTGGGCGACAGAGCCAGACTCCGTCTCAAACAAACAAACAAACAAACAAACAAACAAACAGCTTCCCAGAACACAGAGATACCTTCATTGCATGATGTATGTGAGACAACACACTTCTCTGGCAGCATCTCAAAGTTCAATAGATTACAATCTCCAGGACCGCAGGCACACCAAGTCCCTTGTTAAGTCCTGGAGAAGCTGGTGGTTTCTGGACCTGAATATTTCTTGTACAACATTTAGGTAACTCTGAGCAATTGACTCTCCTACCACCATGGGGCCTGGTGGTAAGACAAGGCTGTGACTCACATGCTGTAGCTCCTCTCGTTTTGCAAAAATCAAATTGTTTTCCTCATGTAGGTGAAGAGAAACTTGAATAATATTTTAAAATTTCCATAAAGGAAAAAACTATTTGCTATGCAAACATAAAACGATTATTGAGATACATTTAAAGTTATAATAATGATGATTTTTACAAATGGAGGCAAATGGTTTGAATAGTTTGGCTTATGAATAATCAATTAGGGAACTATTACATGCCAACAGATCTGAATTTCATAAGTAACGGGGTTGGGGCCAGGTTCTGTGCCTCACAACTATAATCCCAGCATTTTGAGTGGCTGAGATGGGAGGATTTCTTGAGCTGAGGAGTTCAAGACCAGCCTGAGCAACATAGGGAAACCCCGTCTTTACAAAAATAATTTAAGAAATTAGCCAGTCATGGTGGCACACACCTGTAGTTTCAGCTACTTGGGAGGCTGAGGTGGGAGGACTACTTAAGCCTGGGAGGTTAAGGCCTCAGTGAGCCGTGAGAGTGCCACTGCACTCCAGCCTGGGTGACAGAGCAAGACCCTTCTTGGAATAAAAAAAAAGAGAGAGAGAGAAGAGGAAATAAAAGAAAAGAAGGGAAGGGAAGGGAGAAAAGAAAAAGAAAGAGAGAAAGAGAAAGAAAGAAAGAGAGAAAGAAAGAAAGAGAGAAAGAAAGAAAGAAAGAAAGAAAGAAAGAAAGAAAGAAAGAAAGAAAGAAAGAAAGAAAGAAAGAAAGAAAGAGAAAGGGAGGGAGGGAGGGAGGGAGGGAGAGCGTTGGTTTTGCCTAGCTCTGGCAGAGGATGACTTATTGGTCATCAATGCCATTTTTGTTTCTCTCTGATGTATAGCCAGATCACATTTTGTAGCCTCCGTTGCAGTAAGTATGGTCATAAATCTGAGTGCTGACCAACTGAAGATAAAAAGAAAAGATGTACACCATTCTAGGCATCACCCATAGCAACATGTCACTCATGACCCTTGGTGTTTTCATATCATCACAAAATGCAGAGGACTACACTGACGTAGAACATAGTGGAGACACCAGATGAAAGCAGCCTGGGTCCTGGAATGCTTACCCAGTCTCTCACAGATTATAGGCACACTCACTTTCAAATTTAAATGTGCAAAAAGTAGTCTTCAATTGTGTAAACCACTGAGAATTTATGGTTTGTGTATTTTGGCAGCTAACATAAAATTATTACCTGAACCCAGAGAATGTAAATTACTTAGTGACCTGAGCGTTTCTGAAACATTAAGATCAATATCAAGGAGTGGACAGCCCTACGCAAAGCCTGTCTCTCCTCTCATAGGTTTCTGTGAATGTGTAATAGTTTGCCAAGATTGTAAAGGGTCTGAGATTTTTGCCTTACTTGCAAGCTGACAAGTTAGCCTGCCACAATTTTATAAAGGCTGGCAGAAGTCACCGGACTCCTGGTGAGAGGAAGGGACTTTTTTATTCGTAGCACAGCAGGTAGTACTACCTCCAATTGCCTTACCCCTACTTCCCATAGGGGTGATAGTAGATGTGGGCCCAGGTGAATTCTGCCCGTGCACACAATTTTTGCCAAAGCTGAGGAACCCTGAATCTAGGACCATTCAGTCTTCTAAAAGAGGACTGCCAGCAAACTGCCCGACTTTGCCCCAGCGTGGAAGTATTGTCTGTATAATTCTATTCAGAAATAAATCTGCCTCTGCCCCAGAGAGTGACACTATTTCTCCCTTCCAAAGCTGTTTGCTATATAAACATCCTTAAAAAGATAGTCTGGAACAAAATCTGATATGAGGTACACAGAAATGCTATGGAGGACTATCTCTCAATATGTGTTAGATTCCAGCTTAGATCACTAAATAGCAAATGATAGAAACATGCAATGCGGGAGCAATTGGTAGATTTTAGAAGCCACTGATTCTGTTCCGTCATTTTAGGGACGTGAGAAATGGATGGGAGAGAACAACTGGCTTGCCCAAGGCCACATAGAGAATGAGTAGGAATCCTGAGTCTATTCTTCATAGCTTGCTCCCAAAAGAATCATAACTAGGTGACACATGTATGTATATGATTGACGTTAATTCATACATGCACTTCGTTTACATTTTGTGTTTTAAAAGCAGTACTATGAAAGTAGTGAGTATGTGTTGGGAATTGGGAAATTTGTACTCTTACCACTGTCCTGACAATAGCAGTTTTATAGAACCATTCGGATTTGACCACCTTCAGGGACAATTAACTACCTTCTTCTCTTCTTTCAGAGTACCTTGTTCATATCTCTATTATGTTAAGTTTATGTATATGTGAATCTCCCACTTTTGATTATGAATTTCTTAAAGGCAAGAACTGTTTCTAAAAAAAAACTTAACAAACTGAAAAGCATACATGCAAATATAAAAATGAGATTTGCTGGCCAAGTACGTTGGCTCACGCCTGTAATCCCAGCACTTTGGAAGGCTGAGGTGGGGAGATTACCTGAGGTCAGGAGTTCGAGACCAGCCTTACCAACATGGTGAAACCCCATCTCTATTAAAGATACAAAAATTTAGTCCGGTGTGGTGGCAGGCACCTGTAATCTCAGCTACTCAGGAGGCTGAGGCAGGAGAATCACTTGAACCTGGGAGGCGGAGGTTGCAGTGATCTGAGATCGTGCCACTGTATGCCATCCTGGGTGACAGAGCAGGACTCTATTTCAAAAAGAAAAAGAAAAAAAAATGAGATTTGCTACTATGTGGTTACTGAATTCCCACTCTTCTATTCAATGCTTTCTAATGTCTGGGCTATGATTTATGCCAGATTTCAGTTATCATGTTTGGCTTCCTCGCCAAAAAACTGAATATATTATTTCAATTTGTGTTCTGTTATCTTGAATTGTAGGCTCAAGCTCCCAGAGATAATAACTGGTTGCTAGAAAAATGTACCTTGTTTTTTCCATACTACATTAATGATATAATTGGTCTAATTAATCACAGCACTTCCATTATATTTCTGAAGTTGGTTCATACTCCTTGGAGGAAGGAGATTCCTAAATTACAAAAACAAGAAAAATTAAAAATGTATTTTTCTTAAATACTGTAAAACATTATTAGCATATGAAATAAGGCTAGTGAAGTTCCTAATAGATTATGCTGTTATGAGGGTCCTAAAACAGTCTGTCCCGCACTGACTTCTCTCATTTCTACACCCATCTAGAAATTTTGTTTGTTTGAACACAGTTGAAGGGGCAAAGAAAGGCAAGAGTTTAAAGTTTGGAACATGGCCACAATAAGTGGCAACCACTGCTTTCTCCAGATTATTCAAAGATATCCACTTTTTACATCCAGTTTGGCCCTATGTTTGCTTGTTTTTAATTCTTTCCCCTAATCGTGCCAAGAACAATTCTATTAGTCAATCACATAAGTTAATTAACTGACTGTATATTAGTATGATATTTAAATAAAAATACATAAACATAAATATATATTTTGTATAGAAAGTATATTCTCAAAAATATCAAAAGTAGCTGCCAAATTGGTAAGATAATGTTTGTTTCTCATTTTTTTATTCACAAAAATATTCACTGAGAACCCAAATTACTTATATAATCAGAATAACTATAAATGTTGTTAAAAAATATAGGCCACAAGGGGAGCACACTTCACCATCCTCCAAGAACATGTGAGTTTGTCCATTTTTGTGTTTCCATAAATGAATGCCTGAAACTGGGCAATTTATAAAAGGAGATATAATTGGCTCACGATTCTGCAGGCTGCACAAGCGTGGCAGCCATATCTGCTTGGCTTCTGGGGAGGGCATCAGGAAGCTTACAGTCATGGCAGAAAGTGAACTGGGAGCAAGCCCGTTACATGGTGAGAGCAGAAGCAAGAGAGGATAAAGGGGAGCTTCTAGACTCTTTTAAACAACCAGATCTTGCATGAACTGAGGGAGAACTCACTTATCAACAAGAGAATGTTTCTAATTCATTCATGAGGGATCCACCTCCATGATCCAATCACCTCCCACGAGGCCCCACCGCCAACACTGGGTATCACATTTCACCATGAGATTTGGAGGAGACAAATATCCAAACCATATCAACATATAATCTCTTGTTTCTTAGAAGCTATTAGTAATATAAAATAATATGATCCCTATAGTTAGCAGATTAATGTCTCCCACCCTCCCCAAATTTTCATATTCTATTTATCAGAAACAGTGTATATGTTAGTTTACAAGGGAAAAGAGGAATAAGCTGGCAGGTGAAATCAAGGATGTTCATCAGCTGACCTTAATACTGGGAGGTGATCCTGGATTACCCAGGCAATACCAATGTTATCACAAGGGCCATTAAGAGAGAAAGAGGGAGGCAGGCAGGTGATAACCAGAGAGGTGGCAATATGAAAAAGACTCAGCTTGAATTTGCTGGCTTTGAAGATGGAGAAAGGGACCAGAGCCAAGGTTTGCAATCAGCTTTTAGAAGTTGGAAAAGGTAAGACAGCCAACTCCACCCTGGAGCCTGCAGATAGAACACAGCCCTGCCTGCACCTTGATTTTAGCCTTATGGGATATTGGTTGATATTCTGACCTAGAGAACACTAAAACAATAAATTTGTGTGGTTTTAAGCCCCTAAATTTGTCACCGTTTTTCACAGCACCAATAGAAAACTAGTAACATCTTTATGTGGTTTGACTAGAAATTCAGTTCGTGACAGTTTAAAGGCCTTTACAAAGGAGACAGAACACATGAATTCATGTTGGTGCCTGGGAATATTACACAAATTGGCATATTTTCACCCCTCTTTCTATTTAGGTAGTTCCTTTCCCACAAGAAGCTGAGTATATTTTATGAATCTTTGCCTTTGGATTTCATCATGTGATTTGCTTTAGCTGAGACGATGAAGCAGAAGTGAGAGGATGCTGAGTCAGACCAGGCCTCAAGAGACCTTGGAGTTTTCTTTTTGCACTCTGACATCACTATGAGAAAGGTGTGTCCCATCTAATCTGCTGGTCCCTGCAAGAGGGTGAGTGTCACATAGCAAAGGGGAAAATTGCCTGATCCAAGCTCAGCCCAGATCAGCCAAACAAAGCTGACTCTCAAACATGTGAGAATAAATAAGGGTTTGTTGATTTAAGATACTGAGTTTTGGTGTTCTTTGTTATGCTGCAATAGCAAATTCACATAGCTCCTATCTAAGACTTTTTGTTCTGCTTCGTTTCATATTTTTTGTGGGATAAAGCGAAGCATCATAGCAACTGTCATGCAATAATGACCAATGTTTTACTTGGAGGCCTAAATCTGGAAGCTGCTAAAGCTCAGTTCTTCTCACCAACAATCTTTCCTCCAGACTGACAGTCTGCGAAGTTTTCTTACTTTCCTACTGTAGAAAGGTCAGGCTTTTATTAAACATAACTGCCCTCCAACACCCCCTGAGGATCTTAGACATAGATATTTTTTGGGGATTTTGGCATAAAGTTTGCTATTTTAGTCAGTATTTAAATTGACATTTACATTTTTGTACCTTAATCCTCTCTGCTGATATCCTGGATGCCTGCCTATGTTATATATATTCTTTCTGATAAAGTTTCTGAAATGAACTAGTGCCAGCTGAGGAGCAAATTCCTTTGCTATCACTGAGGTAAGCACTGGAAATTGAGGAACATTTTAAAATTTGCAAAGTTTCTCTTTAGCAGTGGAGGAAAAAAAGCCCCTTACCATCAGTTTCTGTTTAATTCAGAGGCCAATTCACCATATTTTTCAGGAAGACTGATAAGACATAACTTTGTATGTATTTGTAACTATTCTTTCACTTTAGGGAAATGAAAAGAATGAAAAGTGAAAAAGTAGGTTGAGAAAACAGAATTTAATAGTTTTAAAAATTGTAACATGCTCTAAAATGGGGTGTCTTAAATTACTAAACACTTTCCAAATTATACATAGCGGTAGGAGAAAATAGGATGCATATCATAAAACAGATGTGGCAAGTTCAGATTAACTGTTAGGTTTTGAACTTCTGGGGTTTTCTTTCATTACACTCTAAACCCTATGTAGATAGGATCAGATCTTTGTTGATTAATGTTTTGTCCAAAGTCATTAGCATAGAGCTTGAAACATTTATCAGTGATCAATAAATATTTGGTGAATTAGAACCAATGAACATATGAGTTGTACTTTAGTTACCATGGATTATTTATGGATAAAATAAGACTATTTCCACTAAAATGGAGGTTCCACTGATTATACTTTGGCCAGGGTTTCCTGGCCAAGAACATGACTATACACATGGATGAACAGAAGACTATATGAGAGAAGGATTTGGAATCAGATGTGAACCCTGGGAAGTATATATATATGCTACTCTCAACTTTTGCCCAAATAGTCCTTCTGAGAAGCCATTTCAAGATAAAAGTCACAGTGGCCAAGAGAGTTAGATATGTAGTTGCAAATGGGCAAGACTTCCTAATAAGTGATAATCAGGTGTTTGCTATTAATGAATTCAATAATAATCTTACAGGATGTTTTAAAGAAGCCTAACTATTAATGTAAAGCTTGTGAAGATACACTATTATTTTAAAAGCTAAACTAGATAATAGATAAACAAGATAATAGAGAAACAAGAAAAGAGAAGTTGTTTTTCTTTAACATTTTTCCTCTTGTTACATGATGAGGATTTCTATGTGTGTAGGATCCAAGGATAAAGTGAAAGCTTTTCTTATTGTCTGAAAGGAAAGATAGCATATTCTGAAAGGCAGAGTAGTATGTTGGCATTGTACCGACTGACTATGCATTAGATCAGACAGCAAATTAGATATTGATAGAACTATTTTGGACAGTCAATAAGCTTTCTGATGATTGATATCTTTACACTGCCTGGTAATATCAGTGCCAGCATTTAGAAACTAGACAAAGAAGCTGTAATATAATATTCTTTTTGTGGAATCCTTAAGTGTAATCTAAACTGAAAAGTCTCATTACTTAGATAGCAGGATTTACAGAGCTGACTTTCTCAGGAACAAGGGAAAGAAAATTAAAACATCATCCATTCCTTTGTGTACAAAACTGTCCTTCACCCTTCAATCTGAATCAGAGGGCAAAGAAGTCAAGTGGTTTAAAGTTCTTCTGATATGTGGCAAAAAAAGTGGTTCACAAAAGCAGTCAGCAAAAGTATACCCTGAAGAATAAAAGTAAACGAAATGTGAAGCAAATGGTTCATTTCATTAGGTGACTGTTTCTGATAGGACATTTAGATTAAAACACAGTGCTCAGGAAACCACAAAATATATCACTGTCTCCTTCTAAATAATAGTTTCTGAAATGTAATCAGGAAAGTAGAAGATAATGATAAAAGGCACTGTGACATGTAATGGCCTCTGTTTTTCTTTCTCCAATCTCCTCTCATCCTCCATTTTATTGTTCATGAAGAATTTTTCTACAAATTTAATCAATCAATCAATCAATTAATTAAATGTGTGTTTATTCCCCCATTTATTCAGCCAGCAAATATGTGTTGGCATGGTTATAGACAGTGGAATTCAGTAGATGGTGAAACAAACAAAAATACCTTCTCAGAGCTTAACCTCTAGTGGGAGAAGACAGATGATTAGCAAATAAATAAGTAAAGTATATAGGAGATCTATTGATGATCAGTGCTAAGTAGATGAATAAAGTCAGTAAAGAAGTTAATAAATGCCATGAGATGAGGTTTGCTATTAGGAATGGCAGATGAAATATGAGATATTTAATTATATTTGGATTTTAATTAAAAAGCCACACATAATTATTTTAGTAAAAGTATATCCCAAGTATTACTAGATGAACAAAAAGAAACATGATTGGAGAAGAAGTCATAATGCATGTTGTGAGGAAATTATGCAGTAGTCTTACATATGCTTTGAAGAAGTGGTGGAAATATTGAACATACTAAGTAGAACCATAAGAGGATATAAAAGTCCAAATTGGAATTTTAGATGTGAAAATTAAAATGCCTGAGATGAAAAATATACTAGATGAGATTAATGGCAGATAAGACATTTCTGAAGAAAAGATCAGTGAACTTAAAGACACAACAATAGAAAAGATTCCAAATAAAGCACACCAAGAAAAAATGAGTAGAGCATTAGTGAGCTGTGGCAAAAGTTCAAGTGACCTAGTATAACTGGAGTCCTCTAAGGAAAGCAGAGCAAGTTTTAAAGAAGAAATGATGAGGAATTTCCTGAAAACTATGAAGCTACAGACATAAGAATCTCAACAAACCCCAAGCACAGCAATATACTATTGGACATTATAACTGAAGTGCATTAAAACCAGTGATAAGGAAAATGCCCTAAAAGTATCCTGAACAAAATTACTTATTACATTAGGAATGTCAGATGACAAATGACAAAGATGATGTATAGCAGATTTGTAATCAGAAATGATGTAAATCAAAGGCATAAGGCATTTAAAATGCTAAGAGAAAATAAAAACAAGATAAAACAAAAAAATCTGATAACCTATGATTGTATACCCATGGAAAATATTTTTCAAAATATGCAAGAAAAATAAAGAGGTTTGTCAGACATACGAAAGTTTAAAGAATTTACCAATAGCCAACAAGTACTACCAAATATTTCATGAAGTCCTCCAAGGAGAAGGCAAACGATATCAGATAAAAATGTGGTTCTACATAAACAAACGATTACTGGACCTAACTTCTATATGCATAAATATAAACACCCTTTTTTGTTTTAAATTTTTGAAAGGATAATTTATTCTTTCAAGTGAAACTAGCACCATACTGTAGACAACAATATCTACTTTATAATCTCGGTAGAAATAAACTGTATAGCAAAAATAGCATGTAGGGTAGGAGAGGAGAAATGAAAGTATAATGTTGTGAGATTCTTATTTTATACTGGAATTGATATAATGTCACTGGAACTGTGACTGTAATAACCAGATAGCTTCCACAACAACCCAAAGAGAACCTCTTATTTCTAGTAGCCATGGGGCTGATATTGCTGAAAATCAAATTCGATTTTTAATCATGTGAGTTTCTTTATCACAATAATAGTTGAATTCAATCTCTCCTAGTTTCTCATATGAGAGTTAAGCCATGAATCAGGAAAGAATTAAATACCAAAACTCTAAATGGGGATCTCCTATTGGATTCAGATGAAACTGACAATCTTGAATCTTCTTGTCATTCTTATACTCCCTTAGAAGTACAAGAAGCTAGCCCTCCAATGGCTAAAAAGACCAGCCTTCCTCATGTGGAAAGCTCTGTGATAACCATGAAAGGCCTTGCTCATTTTCCTCAAGCCACTGTAACCACGTCATTGCTATAAACCCACACTAAGGGTCAAGTCTCATTATGCTTCAGGAGGACATGTATCTTCCATATTTCAAGAAGAAATGGAAATAGCTTGTACGTCAAAAGGTTGCAAGACCATGCTATTAGTTGAGTGCAAAAGTACTTGCATTTTCGGGATTGTTGGAATTTACTGTTTGATATTGGAAGCAAATTGAATTTGAAACAAATGAGAAAGGTGAAAAAGCTTGATAAGTGGCTGCCTCATGAGCTGAGTGAAAATTTAAAAGAAAATTGTCATTTTGAACTGTCATCTTCTCTTATTCTATGCAACAACAATGAACCATTTCTCGATCAGATTGTGATGTGCAATGAAAGTGGTTTTATACAACAGGTGACAACTAGCTGAGTGGTTGGACCTAGGAGAAGCTCTAAAGTACTTGTCAAAGCCAAACTTGCACCAAAAAAAGATCATGGTCACTATTTGGTAGTCTGCTGCCAGTCTGATCCACTACAGCTTTCTGAATCCTGGTGAAACCATTACATCTGAGAAGTATGCTCAGCAAATGGATGAGATGCACTGAAAACTGCAACTCCTTCAGCTGGCATTGGTCAACAGAAAGGGCCCATTTCTCCATGAAAATGCCCACCGCACGTTGCACAACGAACACTTTAAAAGTTGAACAAATTGGGCTACAAAGTTTTGCCTCATCTGCCATGTTCATCTGATCTCTTGCCAACTGACTACCACTTCTTCAAGCATCTTGACAACTTTTTGCAGGGAAAATGCTTCCACAGTCAGCAGGATGCAGAAAATGCTTTCCAAGTGTTCATTGAATTCCGAAGCGCATATTTTATGCTACAGGAATAAACAAATATTTCTCGTTGGCAAAAATGTGTTGGTTGTAATGGTTCCTATGTTGATTAATGAAGATGTGTTTGAGCTTAGTTATAATGATTTAAAATTCACGGTTCAAGGCCGCAATTACTTTTGCACCAACCTAAATAATATATACTTGCGGAAATATAGGAAGCATGAGTGGTAATGGATTTTAAAGTTGTTAGACCAAGTAAGGCAGAATATAAACTAGATTGGGCTAAATTCATTGATATGGATGTATTTAATAGAGACTCCAGGTTTAATGTATTGGCTTGTGCAGTTAGATGTGTTTTTAAACACTTACTTAGACGTTTGAGTGACTGTGAACTCACTGGAGCATCCATTTAGTGAAATTGAGATGCCAGAGCTTTTCTGACATTATATGAGAAGAGAATCCTAAGGCTTGGGGAGATAGAAATGTTGGGCTGAATTTATCATGCATGATCCACATGGGAGATGGGTATCTCACAACTACATTCCATAAGGAGATCTAGAAAACACTCTTTTCACTAAGGTATTGATAAATACATCAGTGACAGAAGCAGCTCTAAAAGGCTCTGTGATTGACTCCATTGTAAGCCATGAATGGCTGTAGGAAATGCCACCATTGAGATAGTCTACTTGATTTCAAAAAAAGATTACAGAAGAGCAGAGGCAAAACAGCCACACTTAAAGTAATCAAAGTCAAGGTGGACACATCATCCAACAACGGAAACAGGGACGTGGCAGTAATTAGCATGCTTTGACCTGCAGAGAATTTTAGTGATGGCTAATTGATCACAGTGTCCCTAGGAATGAGATAGACAGCTTGGTAGCATATTGCTTGATTTGCATAACAGGAAAAACTTTAAGTCTGGCAGCAAGAAACCTGACTTGGGTTGCTAAAGTGAAAAATGTAGCTTCTCATCCAGTTTCCAAATCTAAGTCTGTTCACAGATCCAGAGCCTCTTGACTGCAGGGGAGTCCTAGTCTCCTTGAAGAAGGACACTGCACTATTGCTGCAAGTACATATTAACATCTTTCTGTAGGCCTTCCCAAAGGGACCTCAGCCATTTACTAAAGTGACTGTGCACTGGGGAAAGGACTTTTCAGGGATTACTAGACACTGGCTCTGAATTGAAGCTTAATCCTGGTGACTTGCAATGCTTCTGTGGTCCACATGTCAACAAGGGGCCTATAATCACCAAATGGAGTCTTATGTATGAATCATAGTTATCCCAGTAGGTCTGCATACAAATCCTTTTGTTATTTTCCCAGATCCTGAATATATAACTAGAATAAACTAACGTGACAACTGTTAGAATACCCACATTGGCTACTTGACTTATGTGGTGAGCCATGATGTGGGAAGGGCTACATAGAAGCCCTTTGAACTTCCTCTCCCTGACAATATAGAATTTGAAATTAGAAGCAATTCCACAGACCTGGGAGAATGCAGAAATTAGCGCCACCCTGAAGACTTAAAAGAGGCATGGGTAGCAATGCCTATCACATCCCCACTTAATTCACCAGTTTGACCTATGCAGAAATCAGATGAATGATTGAACTATCAAAACTTTAATCAGGTGTTTACTGCTATGTATTGAGTGAAATTTATTACATGGACAAAACTATAATCCTTTATGGGAAGTTGGTAACAGTTTGGATGGATCGTCATGGATTTGAAGGAAAAAACTTTGAAGATCGATGAAAAGAAAGTGTGACAAAGAAGTATGTAGATATATCTCTCAGAATAGATAGAGACTATAAAAATTTTGTGTCCTATGTGAGTGCCCACCACAAAGGGCATCCATCACAGAGTAAACTCTTAATAGTCAGAGTTGACAAACAACAACAAGAATGAGTAAATAAATAAATTGGTAGACAAAATGACAAGTGTGTGGATGTCAGTCAGCTTGTTTGCCCCACTATATTAGCTCTTACTCAATGGGTTCATGAACAAAGTGGTCACAATTGTATGGACAGAAGCTATGCATAGGCTAAACATCCAGGACTTTCTTAGACAAACTCTGACCTGGTTATCACTACTGCCAAGTGACTAATCTGTCCACACTGGGCTAAACCTTAAATCTCCCATACAACACCATTTCATGGGGTGATCAGAAGATAAGCCTACCATCTGGTGGCAGATTAATTACATTTTAATTCATCCATGATGAACAGAATATACGAAGATTTTACCTCAGTGGAGAAGACATATATTCTGGATGTGGATTTTCCTTCACATCTCATAATGTTTCTACAAGCACCATTGTCTGTAGAGTCATGGAATGTCTTATATACCATTATGATGTTTCATACAGCATTGTGGCAAACAAGAAAGTCATTCCTTGCAAAGAAAGTGAAGTGATGAGCTCATATCTGTGGAATCAACTAACTTCTCATGTATCCCATCATCCAGAAGTAGCTACCCTTATTGAATGGTAGAATGGTTTAGTGAAGACACAGTTATGGCTCCACTTGAGAAATAACACCCTGAAAGGATGGAGTTATCTTTTAGAGAATATTGTTTATGCTTTGAATCAGAGATTGTTTTATGGTGCTACTTTTGCCACAGGCAGAATACATGAGTCCAGGAATTAAGTGATAGAAGTGGGAATGGTGACTCTCACAATTACAACTAATTATACTTGCAGGATTTTCTTACCCTGGCAGCTATACATTCTGCTGGCTTGAAGATTTTAGTCCCCAAAAAGAAAATGCTTTCAACAGAGAAACAACAAAAGTTTCACTGAATCAGAAGTTGAGATTTCCATCGGACCATTTTGGGCTTCTTATGTCATTGAACCAAAAAGGCAAAAAGAGAGATAGGCCAGTTGCAGTGGCTCATGCCTGTAATCCCAGTACTTTGGGAGGCCAAGGTTGGAGGATTGTTGAGGCCAGGAGTTTTAGACCAGCTCTGGGCAACAGAGCAAGAGCCCGTCTCTACAAAAAATATAAAAAAATTAGCTGGGCATGGTGGTATATTCCTGTAATCCCAGCTACTTGAGAGGCTGAGGTAGGAGGATTGCTTGAGCCCAGGAGTTTGAGGTTGCAGTAAGCTAGGATCCCACTACTGCACTCTTGTGTGAGTGACAGAATAAGACTCCCATCTCTTTAAAAAAGAAAAAGGGAGATAATCTACTAGATAAAATGACTGATCCTAATTACCAAGGGGAAATTGTGGTTGCTGCTTGCACGACAGAACCAAGTCTGGAACCAATGAGATTATCTAGGGTGCCTCTTAGCATTGCCACATCTAACAGTAAAGGTAAATGAAAAACTAAAGCAACCTAAGTAAAAGCATGGTGACTGAAGATTCACAACATTTGAAAATAAATATTTGGGTTGCTCCACCAGGTAAAAGAAACAAGAGAAGCATATGTTCTGGCTGAAGTCAAAGAAAATATTGAATGGACAGTTAAAGAAGAAAGCCCTGGATATCACCTACAATCTTGTAGCCAATGTAGTTGCAACAGGGAATGTATTTGCTTTGCATATTTTTCCTATGCGGGTTATTTTCTCTCTCCTTCCCATTTCTTTTTCTAAATTTATTTTCTGCATGAATTATTAGAGATGAAATTTACAATTTAGTCTTTAGGTAACAGAATATTCTGTAGGACCATGACTAAATTCAAGGAGTAATCAATATTGTCTTCAATGGAAAACAAACCTGTTGGGATTTTGTGTGTTTTCAACTTAGAGTGAGATCTTCTTCACCTTAAAAAAAAAAAAAAGATATATCCTTCTTGTTAAGTGAGAATAACTGGTTATATTGTTTTACTGTTGGAAGAGACTTAAAATATGTGTGGAAGAGCATATCCAAGCTAAACAGCCAAAGGGGTGGAGTACTTCAATTATCAATTTGCCCCTCAGCTCAGTGCAACTTCTAATATATGCCCTGTGATAAACAAAGGAATTATATTTAGCATTTACTCAATTAAAGTGAACACAATATCAATTTTTCTTAGTAAAAGGCACTGGGGGGACATTGCAGAAGGAAGAAGCTCTCCTGCAGTTTCTGGCTGCAGCACAGGAGTTGGAAGTGTGGGTGTGAGTATATCTGGTTTACCTTCATGAGCCATGAGCCTAGAACCAGGTCCCTCTGGAGCCGTGCAGCCTCAACCTGAAAATAATCTTTCCATAACCCTTTCAGCATGGAAACTGACAACCAAAGACGTCCATCCTACACCTGTACCTTCACTCTCTCTTCTAGTTACTGTATGGTCCTAGTGCAGCCTGTTTGCAGCTCAGAAGTTTTACACTAGCCAAACTACTGCTCTTTCTGCAAGCCCCTGCGCAGCTCAACTGGTGTTTGGAAGGATCTCATTCCCTCTGTGTGCCCACTGAGTGCTCATACCCTGTTACTGATTTTCTGCTCTCCACCTATATTCTGGAGACTTTCTTGTTGTTTGTCCTGTTACAAAAGGTCATCTCCAGGAACTTGGCCAAAGCAGCAAACTTCTCTTCTTTTTGATGTGCTAAACTATACCTCCTCCACCCTGTTCTAAATTGCTTCCAAATTTTTTCTTCCTTCAGTGCTCTCCCATAGCCCTAGGTTACAATGTCTAGTTTCTTTGCACTTTTTAGTTATTCTTTAATCATAGCTAATAATTATTTATTTTAAACTTCTGCTACATTTAACCTACTCTGTGATTTCTGTCTTCTGATTGGACCCAGACTGCTATAGCCATATTAAAAGATTAAAAAAGAAAAACTACATGATCATCTTAGTAGATTTAGAAAAAGCACTTAAAATATTCAACATCAATTCCTGACCAAAAAAAAAAAAATATTGAATTAGGAATAATGAAACTTCTTCAACCTGATAGGGCATTCTACACAGCATTCTAGTTAATATTGAAAGACTAAATGCTTTTACCATATATTAAAAACAAAGAATAGATCTCTGATCTCATGACTCTTATTCAATACTGAATTTAACGTTCTAGTCAGTGCAATAAGGTGAGATACACAGATAAGTAGACAGATCAGATAAACAGACAGATATCCTGTGCAGAAAGAAGTAAAACTGGCTTTACTTGCAGATGACACAATCATCTATGTGAAAAATCTTATGAATCTGCAAAAATAGCTACTAGAATCAATAAGTGAGTTTTACAAGGTTGTATAATACAAAATCAATATATAAAACTCAACTATATTTCTATATAGTAGCAATGAACAATTAGAGAACATAACTTTTAAAAAGAATATCATTTAAAATAGTATCAAAATGTATGAAATACTTAAGGATCTATCTGACAAAAAATGTTTAAGAGCTGCACACTGGGAACTATAAAACACTGTTGAGAGAAAAAAAAATCCCAAATAAATGGACAGATTGTTTATTCAATAAGTGTTGCTGGCACAACAGTAAAACCATGGAAAGAAAACAACAATACCACAACTACAAAATAAATTATTATTTAATTTACACCTAACACCATATAGAAAACATAACTTAAGGTGAATCATTAACTTAATGGTAAAACCTAATATAATACTGGTATAACTTGTACAAGAAAACACAGGAGAATTTTTTGTGACATTGGGTCAAAGATTTCTTATATAGCACCAAAGCCATGATTCACGAGACAAAGGATTGATGAATTGAATTGGATTTCATCAAAACTGAAAACTGCTACTCTTTAAAAGACACTGGAGAATAGAAACACAAAACATTGGCACAGAGAAAATATTTGCAAATCAAATATCTGACAAAGGACTTGTACTCTAAATATGTAAAGATTTCTCACAAATAAATAATTACAAAACATACTGGCTAACATAAAATGGGTTAAAATCTGTACCTAGAACCTAATATAAAATGGACTAAATATACAACCTAAGGCAAAATGGGCTAAAATCTGTACCACTTCATCAAAGATGACATACAGGTGTCAATACGTGAAAAGTTGGTTTAACATTATCAGTCATTAAGAAAATACAAACTACAACTTCATTAAGATTGATATGGTTAGGCTTTGTGTCCCCACCCAAATTTCATCTTGAATTATAATCCTCATAATCCCCATAATCCACACGTGTCAATAAAATAAAACATACATTCATACAAAGATTTATACACAAATATTCTTAACAGCTTTATTTGCAATAGCTCAAAAATTTTAAAAAAAAATGCCATTCAACAGGTAAAAATGATAAACAAATTGTCCTTAAAAGAAGAATGAATTATTGATACATGCAACAATATGGATGAATGTCAAGTTAATTATGTTGTTTGCAGGTAGTCAGATGAAAATGAGAACATACTGTATTATTCTATTTATGTAAAATTTTGGAAAAGGCAAACTAATCTATAGTGACTGAGTGCAGATTAATCATTGCCAGTTGCATGATGAGTGGGAGGCAAGACAGAGTGAAGGTGATTGTTTCACAAGTCTGGCTGTGAATGGGAAAAGAATGGGGGCTGAATGGAAATTTGTAGTCCAAAAGTATTATCATCAGGTGGAAAGATTAAGTATGTTTTAGTGCTGATGGGAAGAAACAAATAGAGTTTGGAGATATAAAGAGTGGGAATAAGTGAGTAGAGAACTGGGAAGAACAGGGAGGTTGAATGGCAGGGTTCTTTATGGTCAAAAACAGAAGTTTGGATGGTGGGAACTGCAAGGTTGCTGAGGGCTCCTTGGTCAAGAAGCTGGCTATTCCAGAGGATGCAGGGGCAGTTTCCACAGCAAGGTGATTGTATTAGTCTATTCTCACACTGCTATAAAGAACTACCTGAAACTGGGTAATTTATAAAGAAAAGAGGTTCAATTTGCTCACAGTTCCAGAAGCTGTACAGGGAGCATGGCTGGGGAGGCCTTAGAAAATTTACAATAATGACCGAAGGTAAAGGGGAAGCCGGCATGTCCTACATGGCTGGAGCAGGAGGAAGAGAGAGCAAAGGGGAAGTACCACACACTTTCAAACAACCAGATCTTGTGAGAACTCTATCACGAAACAGTATTAGGAGGATGGTGCTAAACCATTAGAAACCATTCCCATGATCCATTCACCTCCCACCAGGCTCCACATCCAACATTCAGGATCACAATTCAATATGAGATTTGGGTGGGAACACAGAACCAAACCATATCAATGATTATTAGGGTTTGGATGAGGAAGATTTGGGGTCAGGGTGGAATGAGGATATGTGTGCCCTAGAGGCCTGATGGGGCTTTGCAATGCCAGGCCCAGAGGTGGCCCAGGATGACTAGGAATTAAAGATCAGCATTTGGCTTTACTCTTTAACTCCTGGTGTTCCAGATCTCTTTAAGACTTTAACCAAAGCATCACAAATCTTAGCCAACATCTTTGGGCATTTCTCCATTCTTCTGGTATCTCAGTGTCCCATCTGCAACAATTTCTTCTCTTCCCGATCTACATTTGCTGATCTGTGGCTAACATCCATTACACAGTAAGGACTCTGGCTGGGCAGTCTTCACTTTCAGTTTCTCGTTGTTTGCCGCAAGATATCTGGTCTCCCTCAAAGAACACTTTCCAAGCCTGATTCAAAGAAAAAAACTTCACAAAGCTTTTATAAATGAGCCTCAGCTGAGTGTGGTGGCCTATGCCTGTACTCTAGAATTTTGGGGAGCTGAGGTGAGAGGATTACTTAAGCCCAGAAGTTTGAGATCAGCCTGGGCAACATAGAGAGACCCTGTCTCTACAAAGTATAAAAACCAATTAGTCATGATGTTGTGTGTCTGTGGTCCCAACTACTCAGGAGGCTGAGATGGGAGTATCACTTGAGCCAAGGAGATTGAGGCTGCAGTGAGCCATGATTGTGCCACTGCACTCCAGTCCAGGTGACAGAATGAGTCTTTCTCTCTCTCTCTCTCTCTCTCTATATATATATCTTTATATCTTCAAACTATGTATATATGTAGTGTGTGTATATATATAGTGTGTATATGTATATATATATATATATATATATATATATATATTTTGAAGATATAAAGAGTGGGAATAAGTGAGTAGAGAACTGGGAAGAAGAGGGAGGTTGAATGTCAGGGTTCTTTATGGCCAAAAACAGAAGTTTGGATGGTGGGAACTGCAAGGAAAGGAACACTTTCTTCTCTTCCCAATCTACATTCACTGGTCTGTGGCTAACATCCATTAGACAGTAATGACTCTGACTGGGCAGTTTTCCCTTACCACATGATATCTAGGAGTCCAGACCAGATATCATGTGGTAAACAAAAACAATGAGAAAACTCATTGTAAAAATAGGAGATATATGTATATATATATACACACACACGTATATGAAGAGATAAATATATATCTATATAAATCTATCTCTCTATATATATATATCCTATTAGATCTGTCCCTCTAGAGAACCCTGACTAATACACTAATTATGTGAACAAGAGATCCATATAAAAGCAAGGCAGTCTTGAGAAGAATTATGACTAAAAATGACCTAGAAAGAGAAAGAGGAATGAGGTGGAAATTTTATGTTGCCAGAAGAGCAACTCTATTCAACTAGTAAGCTTTCAATTGGTTCATTCTAAGTTCTTTGACATTAAATATTTGATACATATACAAAGAAGAGATTGGAATCAGGAATTTGAAGATTTGGATTCATGTTTAATCTTTGCCATTAATTGCTGAGTGACTGTGGATAGATAATCAAGTCTCAGTTTAATTATCTATAATATGGTAATAATTCAACCTGTGCCATTTATTTGTCAGAAATCAAAATAAGAAAATTTATTTGGGTCATTATTATGTATAAAACATATCACTCCAAAGATAATTATTATTTTTGATTGTTTGTATTGTTGTTAATAGGTAAATAGGAGCTATAAGGCAACCAAATAAAGATATCTTGAAAGCAAAAAGGTCTAAGGTAATGAGATGCTTGTTCTTCTCATGCAGATCTGTGTTAAATCCTTCATTTTTGTAAAGCCTTTTCATAGAGGCCCACTGGACATGTAAGATGATGATATTTCAAAGCTGGAGAGGTAGCACTATTTCTAAATTGGGAATACATGCCTGGCTGCTTCAAATATTAATCATAAGGCAGCTATCGAATTGACAAGAAACTGAAAACTATTGTAATCCCAAACATGCTTTAAAAGAATAAATTAAAATATCAAATAAAAATAGTCCGGTAGACCTAGGTTTTGCTTTTTTCTATTTACTTATCTATTTTATATTAAGAAAGTCTACACATTATGGCAAATTATTTATTAGTCCTTTACATATTTTTTCCTTGATGATACCTCCATCCCCAAGCCAACAGAGTACATGTGTCACAATCTTGTACTTAGAGGATCATTGAATGGATCATAGTTGAACAATTTATTTGACTCATGATGGCCATTGTAAACTACAATGTGTTTGACAAGAAGCTTTCCATACATATGCTTTTCAAAGAGAAAGACAGATTTTGAAACACGTTAATATATTAGCTTTTCCAAGGTAATACATTTGGAGCGTTGTTGGGTTGGCTGACACAGCCCTGTATAGCCTGAGGGAGAACTGCAATGGCTGTTTTACTTTAAGATTTCATTAGATCTAAAATAGTTATATTTCAATTATGCCTCATAATAGTTCAAAGAATTTTGGAAATGCCATATAGTCTTACAACATAGGGAAAATAATCACATGTTAATTTTAGAAATTTAGGTGTCTTAACCATAATTGCTTTGTGGATAGAAAGTAGTATCATATCCAGTGCTGATACAATCAAAATGCTGTATTTAGTCTGCATGAAACTTTTCTTCTGGGAATTATGGAATGCTCTGTCCTATTTAACATAGCATATGGACATAGACTATACTATTATTGTAGTCTTCTTTTTCTATTAAAATGCTAATGAATAAAAAGGGATTTCATTTTTATTAAGGAGGTTAGAAGTACAAGTGTGGGAGAGTGAATTAAAAACAAACCTACTGGGAGAAGAGATAAGAATTCTAGACATCTGCGTGATTCTTTCTTCCACATATCAAATTCGGAATCATACATCCATAGGGAAGAGGAATACTAAAATACAAAAGAAAACTGAACCCAAACTTATGAAAGAATAGCAGGTCACACCAAAAGGGTTCAATGAAAGCAAAGAATTTTCTTATTTTATTCATAAACAATGTAGATATTCATAAAACCCAGAGACACACATAGTGTGTCTTTTGTACTTTTTGTCAAAGTATAAAGACTTTTGAATTAGCTTTTGTACTTTTTGTCATTTTCTTATTTCTTTAAGAAACATGTAATAATACCGTCACGTTATTATTCTGGGCTTTTCTCGTCATGCTCCTGCTTTTTTCTTGCTGACTTGCCTTTGCCTAATTCAATATACATTATTCCCTCCTTCTACTTGCAAAACGTTTTGTGAATCTGATCCCACCCTAATCCATATCCCAAATCCATACTTCCCTTCCAGATTTCAGCTCTGTTCAAGCATTGCTATTATATAGCTATTCAGATGGATAAATTAGGTATCCAGAAAAGCCTACAGGTTACTTCACTTTTTAAAATTGTTGTCACAAGGTTAGAAACTAGCACTTTTCCTAAAAATAAAAATGCTTTTGTGCTGACATTCAGCTGAGTTATTTGAGAGACTTCGTTTTTTATGATAATCATGAACAAAGGTGAAGAACCTAAGAGAAACTGTGCTATTCATCCTGGTCCTAGAGCGACAGGAAAAAAAGATTTTGCAAAGTTAAATGTCTCTAAAAGCCGGTTGCACAGGGTTTCTATTTCATAGCTACATACTTATAATCATTATTGCTATTATTAATTTTATTTTAAGTTCTGGGATACATGTGCTGAACGTGCATGTTTGTTACATAGGTATACATGTGCCATGGTGGTTTGCTGTACCCATCAAGCTGTCATCTAGGTTTTAAGCCCTGCTTGCATTAGGTATTTGTCCTAATGCTCTCCCTTCCTTTGCCCCCCATCCCCCGACAGGCCCCTGTGTGGGATGTTCCTCTCCCTGTGTCCATGCGTCCCCATTGTTCAACTCCCACTTATGAATTAGAACATGCGGTGTTTGGTTTTTTGTTCCTGTGTTAGTTTGCTGAAAATGATGGTGTCCAGCTTCCTCCATGTCCCTGCGAAGGACATGAACTCATTCTTTTCTATGGCTGCATTATAATCATTATTAAGCAATAACAATTCTGAGAAAAAGCAAACAAGAACTTTTTATATTTAAAATTCCTACATAAATGTAATGTTACTTTCAAGACTTAAAACTCTTTAGCTTTAATTATTCATTTACCCTGGAAATTAAGGTTTTTAAAACAAAAATACATAAGCTTAATATCCAAATAGATTTTAACACGGATGGCCTACACATTTAAAATATACTGCCCAAGGTAATTTATAGATTCAATACCATCCCCATCAAGCTACCAATGACTTTCTTCACAGAATTGGATAATATTACTTTAAAGTTCATATGGAACCAAAAAAGAGCCCGCATCACCAAGTCAATTCTAAGCCAAAAGAACAAAGCTGGAGGCATCACACTACCTGCCTTCAAACTATACTACAAGGCTACAGTAACCAAAACAGCATGGTACTGGTACCAAAACAGAGATATAGACCAATGGAACAGAACAGAGCCCTCAGAAATAATGCCACATAGCTACAACTATCTGATCTTTGACAAACCTGACAAAAACAAGAAATGGGGAAAGGATTCCCTGTTTAATAAATGGTGCTGGGAAAACTGGCTAGCCATATGTAGAAAGCTGAAACTCAATCCCTTCCTTACACCTTATACAAACAGTAATTCAAGATGGATTAAAGACTTACGTGTTAGACCTAAAACCATAAAAACCCTAGAAGAAAACCTAGGCAATACCATTCAGGACATAGGCATGGGCAAGGACTTCATGTCTAAAACACAAAAAGCAATGGCAACAAAAGCCAGAATTGACAAATGGGATCTAATTAAACTAAAGAGCTTCTGCACAGCAAAAGAAACTACCATCAGAGTGAACAGGCAACCTACAGAATGGGAGAAAATTTTCGCAACCTACTCATCTGACAAAGGGCTAATATCCAGAATCTACAATGAACTCAAACAAATTTACAAGAAAAAAACAAACAACCCCATCAAAAAGTGGGCAAAGGATATGAACAGACACTTCTCAAAAGAAGACATTTATGTAGCCAAAAAACACATGAAAAAATGCTCATCATCACTGGCCATCAGAGAAATGCAAATCAAAACCACAATGAGATACCATCTCACACCAGTTAGAATGTCGATCATTAAAAAGTCAGGAAACAACAGGTGCTGGAGAGGATGTGGAGAAATAGGAACAGTTTCACACTGTTGGTGGGACTGTAAACTAGTTCAACCATTGTGGAAGTTGGTGTGGCGATTCCTCAGAGATCTAGAACTAGAAATACCATTTGACCCAGCCATCCCATTACTGGGTATATGCCCAAAGGATTATAAATCATGCTGCTATAAAGACACATGCACACGTGTGTTTATAGCGGCACTATTCACAATAGCAAAGATTTGGAACCAACCCAAATGTCCAACAATGATAGACTGGATTAAGAAAATGTGGCACATATACACCATGGAATACTATGCAGCTATAAAAAATGATGAGTTCATGTCCTTTGTAGGGACATGGATGAAACTGGAAACCATCATTCTCAGCAAACTATCGCAAGGACAAAAAACCAAACACCGCATATTCTCACTCATAGGTGGGAATTGAACAATGAGAACACAGGGACACAGGAAGGGGAACATCATACACCAGGGCCTGTTGTGGGGTGGGGAGAAGGGGGAGGGATAGCATTAGGAGATATACCTAATGCTAAATGACGAGTTAATGGGTGCAGCACACCAACATGGTACATGTATACATATGCAACAAACCTGCACGTTGTGTACATATACCCTAAAAGTTAAAGTATAATAATAATAAAATAAAATAAAATAAAATAAAATGTCTAAAATAAGAAAATCTCTTTTTTCTCCCAACTATTTTATCTCATATTCACTGTCTTAGTAAACAATAATGTAGATTCATTCCAATTCACATACAAGAAAATTGAGAACCATCTTATATAAATCCTTCCTACCCAATAGCTAACTATTTAGCAAATCTCTTTTACCTTCAAATGCTTTCTGTTACTTCCTATTTCCACTGCTACTTTCTTACTGAGAAATCATCCATAATTCATCCTGCTGCCAAAGAGACCTCTCTAAAATTCAAGTCTAGTCTTTACCTTCTGAGTGCTGGAGAAGACGACATCGCCTACCACCATGACATCTGAAGTGTTTTTATATTTAACTACTTAATCTCCCAATAACCATTTTCCACAGGTCTAATGCTTTATATTTCACTTGCACTTCAGGAAATCTGAGTTTTTTCAAGTTTCCTATACATTATATTCCTTTTACACTTTCACAATTTTCACACTATTTGTTACTTCTTTCTGGAATGTTTTTCTATTCTTCCTACTTAAGGAATTTTTTTTTTTAAAGTACGTTCACACTCCAACTTAGGCATTGCATTGCTTAGAAAATCTTTGCAGATAATACCTCCACAGGCCAATCCACATATCCTCTACCTTACCTCTGTAAAATGTATATGTGCTTATTTTTGCATTTATCACCAAGACACAAAAACAGTCATATCAGCCTCCCCAACTAAGCTATGAGTTCCTGAAAGAACATCACATTTCTTTCTTTGCAATAAAACAAGGTTTATGGATGGAATAAATAAAAAAATACAAAGGAAAATATGATTCACATGATAGGAGTAGGTAAATGTTAGTGTATTGAAAAATGAAGAATGGCAGAATGATAGCATCTTAGGATAGAATAAGGAACAATAGTTATTGAGGGCTCAGTACAGTTTAAAACATTATGCTGCCCCCTATGGGTTGTAACCATTCTGTGAGTTGTGTGTAATAAGGAGCCCATCTGCTTATTGTGGACTTGGTTAAGGTAAGTAAATTCCTTTCTTATATCCTAGGATACCTTCCTATAGTGATTAGGGTAGAAAGGCCCATAGTTAATGGACCATTCAAGAGTTTCTGACTCAGATGAACTTGACCATTGTATAAAGACTTCCTATCTTAAGTGCTGTCTCAGATTTTATCTCAGTTCCAGCTAATTTGACTTTTTGTGTTCTCTTGTAATGAGATAACAGTCTTGCTCTCCATTTTAATTTTATTGAATATTGAATTCTTATTTTTTATAGACTTTTTGGCTGGTTTAATAGATGGCAGATATATTTTAATATTTATCCTATTTAGAAGTAATTAGGAAACATAGCACTTATCTATAGGTAAATATCAAATTAAATGGAATAGTCATTCAAATGAGAGCATTCACATGTATTCACTTATATTTAAAAAGTTATAAGCTATTATAATAGGAAATTTAAAAGGGATAATTATTGATACTTTTAATGTAACAATCTGATTGTAGAAGAACCATGCTTGATATATAAGGTTTTTTTTCTCTTTCTCATCAGATTTGGTTTTAGAATTAAATTTGTGAGTGACTTAGGATTGTAATGTAATATAATATTAACTGAACTAAAATGACAATTTCCAGACTGTACTTTAGGTAGCCAGGTATACAGAGACTTGTAGTTCAAATACATTTTACCTTTGCCTAATATATGCAGTGGGGCTTAGAGGAAAGAAAGAGGGAGAAAGAGAGACAGAGAACAAAAGCTAAATAATCAGTGTTGCAATATGATGGTTAACAGTTATGATGTTTATGGAAGAGATTAGTAGTTAAATCAGTAGACTGAGTAAAGAAAATCATTCCTCACCAATGTGGGTGGGTGTCGTCCAATATGAGAGGGCTCCAACATGGAGGAAGGGCAAATTCTCTTCTTGAGCTGGAACCTTCATCTCCTGCCCTCAGACATCAGATCTCCTGGTTCTCTGGCCTTTGGACTCCAGTACTTACACCAGTGGCTCCTCCTCCACCCCCGTACCCCATCACTCCAGTTTTTAGGCTGTTGGACTAGGAACAAAGTACACCACTGGCTTTCCTGGATCTCCAGCTTGCACATGGTATATTGTGGGAATTTCCAGCCTTCATAATCACGTGAGCCAATTCCCACAATAACTCTTCTCTAATATATATTTATATCTCCTATTGATTCTCTGGAGAATCCCAAGTAATACAAGAGTGAAAACACAGAAGCCAGACTGTCCACATGTTAGTCTCATCTTTAGCCCTTACACTCACTGAATTTAGGAAAGTCATATAGCTTCTCTATACCTCAGTTTCCTTTTTTGTAAAATTTAGATTACATAACAATTCATACCCTATAGGATACTTTTATGGTTCAAGTGAGTAAACAGGTGTAAAGCAGTTATAAGAGTGTCTGGAAATAATAAATCCTATATACATGTTAGGTATTATTATTATTTTTAAATGAAGAACTGTATTTTGTATTTTTAATACTTTTCTCTCCACCCGATTTAAAAAAAAGATTTAAAAATATGCTTAATCAAGAAGTGTACTTTAAATTAGCAGAAAAATCAATGTTTTTAGAAAAATGCCCTTTCACATCCTCAAAGTGTTTCAGGCTCTCCAAAACCTTTGACAGACATATTATACATTTTTTCACTGATTCATTTATTTATTCATTTATTCACAAATATTTGTTGAGTACTTACTATGTGCCAGACACTGTTCTAACCAGGAGAGATAGAGTGGTGAATAAAAACACATACATGTATGCCTCCCTGCCCTGTAAAGCCTTCAATAAAATATTTCTCATTGTCTAATACATTCAATAAAATAGCTAAACTCAGACAATAAACTATAGATGAATCACCTTTATATTGTTTCATATCATAAGGAAGTGAAAGAATATTCCAGACAATGGTCATTTCCCATTCAAGCTTTGTGGTGGGAGTGGTTAAGGTCAGTTATCCAGGAAAGAGCAATGAGGAGAATGTGTCTGGACCTGGGTGAGAGAGTGAGAGAGCACTCGGTGATGATGCCAAGGGGTGAAACACCATCATGTATATCTTATAGGCCATGGCAATGGTATCGTTTCTATTCTGAGATAGGAGGTTATGAGAAGAGGAATGCCAGGATCAGACTGACAATTTAAGAGAATCACTATGCTTAAGTATAGACTATGGTGAGAAGAGAATAGGGTAAGTGTTTCAGAGCAATTCTGAGTGAGAAAAATAACTTACTGCAAAGTGAATGGACTAGAGGAAGAGTTCAGAATCAGTGGGGTACCAGGTACTCCAAGAAGAGCATCCAACAATTCATATGTACACATAGCACTGTCAGTTTGGTCTTAATTTAGCTCTAATAAAATATGCAGCATGAATAATGAATATGGATGCATGGATTTTAATAAAATCTATATTCTTTAAGTGCATAGTGATCTAATAGAGAGTTTTATATCATTATGAATTGTCTTAATCAGTAGATTCTAAGAGAACAACTACTACAACGTAAGGGGCCTATAATTTTTCATTATTAAGTTTATGCTATTAAAAATTGGAAGCTCCTGTACTAAATAAGAGATCTTAAACTCTAGGTAAATTTTTTCCTCCGTTTCAAAAGAAAGACATGAAAAGTAGCCAAATTTCTAAAGTAAGTCAGCAGACTGGCCAATATTGCCATATTTCTTGCTGTCTCCAAACTCTGTCCTAGGTGCTTCTCATGGCAGAAATTGAAGTTGACAATGTAGGGGCAGGAACACCCACAAGAATACTGAGGATTCTGGCTCAGCCATTACTGCTGTGGGATCCCATTTTCTTAAATTTCAAGATCTGGAGGTCTTCAGGCACTAAATGTCTTGAATTTTCCCAAAGCAATACAATATTTCCATTTAAAATATATCCTATATCTCATCCTCCACATCTGTTTATAGTGATACACAAATAGGAGGAAATAATTTAAATCAAACCTATACACACCTAAATGATTTTACATGGACATAGAAAAATTTCATTGTCACTGGTTGTCCAAACCACATTTTGGAATTAATAATGAGATTTTAGAATTAAATTTTTTTTTAATTGGTGCTCTGTTTATTACCTTCCAGAATTGTCAGAAAGTTAGCATAATGATAATAAACAGCACTAAACAAGTAGCGTTACTTTTCTCAGTTTGATAAAAATTTGCTAGAAGATTGACATAATTTGTTAAATTCACAAGCAAAAATGGTCAATCTCTTTATTATTTATACATAAATATATAGACATAAGTATAGGCACTTTTGTTAATATTTAGATTAAATCCTCAGTTTGTTGGTTAGAATGAGGAAGTGGCATTTTATAATATTCCCAGCCTCTATTTTGCTACTGTCCACTAAAATAAATCACACTGTAACTAGTATCAATATATTTTCGTTTCCTCAGAGAGCCCCCTTTACCAAGATGTGTCCTCTATTTCAAGGTCAGTGCATTAATGACAGCACATTACTCTGGTGAGTCAGTCCAACCCCTTAGCTTGCAAAATGCTCAAATTTTGCTAAAAGCAACTCTTGAATTAATTGTAACTATTTGGTCAGCTCAGATTCAAATGATTCCATCTGGATTTGCCAAATAGGACTTTGTAGAAGAAAGTGAAGCCTCTTTTAAACACTAGGCTATGTTCCATTTTGTTTTAGAAATAGCTACAGAATAAAGCTTTATCTTCTGTTTCCTGAATTATTATGGCACAACACAGGGCAATCCTTTCTGGTATTTCTCATGCTCTGTTCTTTGTCTCCTGACATTGGAAGCTTTTTTATTTAACTAGTATTTCCACTTCATGATCAAATTAATTTGTATCCACTCCTCAACTTGTCTTCTTTCAAAACTCCAGTTTAATTACAAACATATCTTTGTGTTAGATAAGCAACAAAGACAGCAATATAGAGAAGGTTGATGGGAATCTGTCTGCATTATTTACCAAATGCTTCAGTATTTCCAAGCAGCTGACGACAGACTAGTAGCCAATCCAAATTCATTTCCAGAGAGACACATAAAAACTTTACTGCTTAACAGAGCTCAAAATATCCACCTGTCTCTCCAACTAAAGTGCAAGCAGAGACTATACTGCTGATGCAGGAGATCTTCTCTAATCTTTTACATTGGGTAGAACCATCTGATGCTAATTATATTATGGCTATTTGTAATTCTTGTTTATTCTTGAAATTTTTATTGCTTCAGGTTTGGTTGATTGAGTAGCTGGGACGAAAATGCCAGATCATGGAAATGTGTGTGAATATGTACATGCATGCAATGCCTGAAGATATGTACAATTGTCCTGAACTCTGCAAGTTCTAACTGCAAATGCTCTCACATCTCTTCTACATTTCTTCTTAAATGCTTGAGCACCCCTACTTCTCATTAGTAAGAAGTCTGTTATTATCTTCTTGAGGAAACTCTCTCCCAGTACTTCAAGCAATTACACAGTTTAACAGGGGGTTCATTTTAGCTTCCCAAATCAAATGCTGAGAAAATCCAGGATCAGCTTATCACTGTCATAGCCTCTTGCTGCTGCACAGTGTGTGGCACAGTCTAATTCTCCCATGGCTCAAGGTGGCTGAGTATGGCTGCCTTTCACCTAGGTTCTCATAAGACAGTTTTTTCTGTTTACAAATACATCTACTGAGTGTCATGGTGGCATTGAGACAGCAGTAAGAGCTCAGGGGCTGGTTCTGTGCCCACCCCTCTTCATCCTTGGGTAAATGTTCTCCTTGCCTCCTTGAGATTCCAATCTAGAACAGTTAGGGTGACTTACTCTCATAAGGAACATTCTCAAAAGGAGTCTAGGTGATTTTATCATTGGCTAATATATTAAAAAATATGTGTGTGCTTATGAATTCATATCAAATAAAACATGTTTATGCGTGATAGATGTACTCACACGTTAAATAATTAGATCTAACATGCCACTTACATTTTTGGCAATGAAACAGGATCACTGTAATGTACACATAGTACACAAGTGTTGCTATTTTCCCCATAATCTACATCAGAGGAAACACATGATTATATGTCTCAAATATCTATTCTGAACTCTTGAAGAACCATTACATACAGCGTGAAGCTCTAGGTACCAATCTTACGTATATACATTTTTAATGCATGATCTATTTTAGGTTACTTGTGATGATTAGATGAGAAGGGAAATGTGTAACAAAATTGGATCCTATCTAAAAATCCAGTAATGATTTTTAGATATATATTATGCTGTGACACATTAGGCTTTTATAGAAAGTGAAATCACTATGCCAGAACCACGGACATTTAATAAAAATAAAGGAAAACCTGTTAAATGCAAATGCCTTACTATGTAGTAATATCCTTTCACCTTTCCTTGCAATTTCTCCACTTGGCACAAAGAATCTTGGTGCTTTTAAGTGTTTTTATGTAGCTAGCAGAATGGATTTTTCAATATATCTTGATTCCCAGAGGCTTTACAGGTTTTGCAAACCTATGACAAACTATAATTTGTATAAGTGTTATTTTCTTATATGAATGCCATTATTCCATATGATGGGTTTGCTGAGTGGACAGAGTATTGAATTTTCTTCTCTGTGGTATTCTCGGGATCCACTGTAGTTCTAAAGACTTAAAAATTGAATAAAGGAGGAACAGGATGAAAATTAACAGAGCAGAGAATCCCCAGCTGAGGGAGAAATAAATGGCTTCATAAACTTTGAATCAGTGCAGCAAAAGAGGTTACATCCAAGGGCTAAAGACACCTGTTAAAGGTTTTTGTTCCTTCTCTATCTGAGGATCTTATATTGTGGTATAAGATAGTTCTTATGTTACCTTTGTGATATATAGCCGTGTAACTAATACGCATATGATCTAAGTAGGTAAAGTTGTTTGTAACAAATTTACTAATGCCTTCCCTTAACTTCCATACATCTATGAATTCAATAAGTATTGGTCACTGTTATGGGAGGAATCGTGTCTCCTAAAATGTCCAGTATTGAAGTCCTAATGCCCAGTATCTCAGAATGTGATCATATTTGGACACAGAGTAATCAAGTAAAATGAGGTCATTAGGATGGGCCTTAATCCAATATCATTAGTATACTTATAAAAACAGGAAATCTGAAGACAGACTCATTTAGAGGGAGAATGTTATATGAACATGAGACATGCTTGGAGGGAGAATTCCATGTGAACATGAATAGTCATCTGCAAGCAAGAGAAGCCTGGAACAGATCTTTTTTTCACAGCCCTTAGAAGAAACCAACCCTAGAACACCTTAATTTCCAACTTCTAGACACCTGACCTGAAATACAGTACATTTGTGTTGTTTAAACCACCAGTTTGTGGTAGTTTGTTAAGGCAGTCCTAGAAAACTAATACAGAAACCTATCAAGTGACAGATAATATTCTAGGTGGTCAAGAGACAGATAAGAAAACATTATATAATGCTCTGAAGTTTCCAGTAAAGAGTAAAGAGCAAGAACATAAACAAGTGCCATCATTGTGACATATGCTGAGCAGAGGGATGTCCAGGACATTTTAGATGTACAGAAGAGGAACAGACTAACTCAGCTAGGGAACCAGGGAAGTCAGGACCTCTAGAGCTGAGTCTTAAAATAGGAATGAGCAAGATAGAAAACAAAAAGTCTGTAGTCTAGATAGGGTGGATTATCAAACCAAGGTGGTATAGGAAGTTGTAGTTCCTTTTGGAAATTTTAAGCAGGTTATTCGACCTAGGTTTGGCTTAGGGATGTTATAGGAAGAGTATTTGGAAAGACAAGAGGCCAAGACAGAACAAGCTGAAATTAAAAAAAAAAAGAGAGAATATTTGGTATAGCATGCTAAAGATTTGAAATGAAGGATTTAAAGTAGGGAATTATAAGACATTTTAACATGAAGGAAATTTATTTTGTTATAGTCTGTAGATTGGATTGAATAAAAGTATGGTGTTAAGCTGGGAAATGGGTAGCAAATTTGGTAGCTATTGCTATAACTAAATGATCAAGTTATTGACAAATCAGTTGTTGTATATATGGAAAAGGAGCCTGTCATTCTACAAATGAGATTGCAGTGTTTAGGCAGTTTATTCACATTTGTGCAACTGATCAATGGCATGACTGAAATTTGAAGTTGTACCTGATTCCAGAGCCTGTTCTCCACTCTGCTATATTGCATCCAGAAAGAGTCAGATGCAGGCAATAGTGGGACCTTGAGACACTACAGAAGCAGAACAGGGCAGTGTTGGGAAGAGAACAGTGTGATGATGCACACTTCAGAGGCTTCTATTTTGGGATGTGGTTGACATCATTGGAATAAGGGGTAAGGCCTCTTCAACAAGCCTTAGGACTGAGAATGGAATTCCAAAGTAAAGAGAAAGGTGCTTGAAGGAAGAAATGCACTAGCATGATGAGAGTTCATGAATTAGAATCTATGTGCAAGGATATTTTAAAGGTGCTCCTTAGATACTACCTAGCATGTAACATGCATGATATGTTGTATGTTTCCACAGATTTGAGGCACCTACACAGTGAGAGAGGAATTTAGAAAGAAGTGACAAATGTATAGCTTAATTTTCCACATATTTTAATCAATGAGATTTTTTCTTACTATAGTCTTAGATTTTAAAATTACTAACCAAAGAAGTAACTAACTCTTAAGAGTGAGATTCTAAATTTCAGAATCGGAATACTACCTTTCTCAGAGTAGGATATTCACTTTTGCAAGGTGTATTCAGCAATTTATTAGATGGGAAATCAAGTTTCAGAGTGAGTCTTGGGCCTTTAAATAGTCAAGACAGGCTACTCCTGAAACAAACTTCGAAAGTCATATGTATTAAGGATAGGTAAGTCTTCTTACTGAATTGAACCATGTATCATTATGTAGTTACCTTCTTTGTCTGTTTTTATTGTTGTTTGTTTAAAGTCTGTCTTATCTGATACAAGAATAGCGTCCCCTGCTCAAAGAACTTAAAACAGTACTATCATTTGATCCAGAAATCCCATTACTGGAAAAGAAATTTTTCTACCAAAAAGACACATTAACTTGTGTATTTGTCACAGCACCATTTACAGTAGCAAAGATATAGAATCAAACTAAGTGCTAATCAGTGGTAGATTAGATAAAGAAAATGTGGTATATATACCCCATGGAATACTATACAACCATAAAAAGAACAAAATCACATGTCATTTGAAGCAATATTGATGCAGTTGGAGGAAATCATCTTCAGAAAATTAATGAAGAAACATAAAACTAAATGACGTATGTTCTCACTTATAAGTGGAGGCTAAACATTGGTTACAGTCGGACATAAAGATAGGAAAAATACACACTGGGGACTCCAAAAGGAGGAAGAAAGGGAAGAAGAGAAAGGGCTGAAAAACTTCCTCTGGGCACTAGGTGATGGGATCAACAGAAGCCCAAACCTCAGCATCACGCAATATACACTGGTAACAAACCTGTACATGTACCCCTTGAATCTAAAATTAAAATTTAAAAATGTCAGATACACTAGCTTATTCTACAGAAATATGAAACCTACACAATTCAGAGACTTAAAGAAACACTGATTTATTTCTCTGGAGACCATTATCTCACCAATTAAATGCATTAAAATGAGTGACCCTCATCATTTCTACACCCATGTCATTGGCCAAAACAGTTCACATGACCACAATTAACTTCAAAGTCGGGGAGAACATTTTCTCATGAACATAGAAACATAATAAAAGAAATATTTGTGAGCAGTAGTAAGGCCTTCTCCAAAACAACCAAATATTTCAGTGACTTCACACACACAAATGCATTGCTCCTGTCACTGTGTCCCTGCACATGCATGCACATGTGTACACACCCACGTGTGTGTAGATATATGCACACAGCTGTGTTTCTCCAGTGATCTGTTCCACATCATCATTTGGAGACCCAGTTCTCTTGTATTTTTTGACTCTATCCCACTCCAGAGTCTTCATGCAGCTGCTGGATTGAGAGAAAGCATAAGGCTTACACATAGGAAAATCCTATGGCCCAGGTCTGAAAGTGATGACATCTCTTCCATTTATATTTCATTGACAAAAATTCAGTCATTCTGCCACATCTGACTGCAAGAGGGGTTGAGAAACCTTTCCTAGGCACACGGTTCACTAACCGTGTGCCTAGGAAAAAGCGGTAAACAGACTTTTGGTAATTATTCACAGATTAAATGAACTCTAATTCCTTAAGCAAAATATCTCACTACACTTCCTTCTGACTTCATAGAAAGTAAGTCCCTTAATAGGGACAGAGAGGTCATTGGTCATTAACTCTAGAAAAGTCAACAAAACCTCCTAACACTTTGTGTTTAAGAAGTTAAAATGATTTATCAAATGGTGAATTATTAGCTTATTGCTTTTGACTACGTAGAGAAATATTCCCTCTCTCTCAACTCCATAGCTCCCTGATAACCTGAGTATGTGAAGAATAAACTTTTATTTATTGAAGTAATTTCATTTTTATTATAAGTAAATCTCATTGTCTGCTACAAAGGGCCCTTTGACTCAGGAAGAGAATACTAATTTAAGGGACAAATTCATATATGTTTCCTTTTTTCAGAGGGTTAGGATCCAGATGAAAGGGAAGGTCATTTTGTTAAATAGTTTTCTAGACTTTTGTAATCTCAGCAAAGCAGGAATAAATATTGTTTTAAATTTTCTATTGAGTGGGAATCAGAATATGGGAACATTATATACAATAAATGTTATTTGAGTAATGCTGTATGAAAAACTTTGGTCTCACAGGCAGCGTGAGAACCATCTTCTTGCAGAATATGTGATAAGAAAATACATATTCCCTAGTATTTGCTGTCTTTTGGTTGTAAAAGACTTTGCTACAGAATGGACAAGGTTTTGATTTTCATTGAGTGTACTAAAATATACCTTGAGGTTACTGTTAAAAATTCAGGAATGCTTGTGAGGAAATATGAGGGTGTTTGTGAATTGCTCTGCACCTAGGGTCCATATTAATTTTAGATATTGTGCACAGAAACTCACTTTATACATATCTGTGTAAGGCTACACTAGTTAAGGGAAACAGTTCATTTTAAAATTTTAGTAATCCAGACTGCTATAATTAGAAATACTAGCAATAATGTTTTCATTGTATAATTAGAGGAAATAAAAATTATACTTAGAACTTACATAGAGATTTCATTTCAGATATTCAAAGTATTTGTTAATATTAATTGCATAATAATTACTCTGCAGGGAACAGATATAGAGGTTCTCTCATGTATCTGGACATTCTTTCTATGCTTTATCTTTCAATGTTGATTTTAGGAGCAGATGGTTTTTCTCGTATCTGGCTATACTCTATATTAAAAATACCCTACCTCTAATTGTAGATTAAAATGTCATTAAAGTGAATGTTTGAAGCTACCATGTTTTGAGAACCCATTGTTAGGTAGGCACTGTAGCAAAAACTAGGCACAAATAACCCTAGGGATTAAGTACTATTTAGTTCAACTTTAAATCTCAGAGAAATGGGGAACTAAAATTTAATCATCAAACTCCATACAAATATTAAACAGAGCAGGGATGGAACTCCAGGTCTGTCTCACTCCACAATCCTTTCCCAATCTGCCACATTAAAAAAAAAAAAGAAGATATAAGAAGATATTACCATCCATTTAATATATTGGAGGTAGCATAGGAAGTTGAAATTAAGCAAATAGTGGTTTTATATTTATTTAGTGTTGGAAATCAGACTTTTTAAAAGATAATGATCTAGTAGTCTAAAGTGTCCCTTGGGGTCATTGGTTATTTGGTAACACGATCAAGGTTTCCCATGCAGTACCTTTGCCTTTGTATTTTCTTATCTAGAAAGACTTTCTCCCCTTCTCTGCCTGATAAACTCCCACTCTTCTTTTTCGTTTCTGCACTCTTTCTTTTAATCCTTTGAATAATTCATTGCTCCTATTGTGTTTTCTTTGCAGTTTGTGTCTATTAGAAATTTCTTATGTTATTGTTCATTATTTAAATGTTCATTTTCCCAATTCGATTTTGAGTTCCTTGAGGAACTCCTCAGTGCCCTTCACAGTTGTTGCTCACAGTCAGTGGGTTAATAAATGGGTGATAAATATCTCTCATTTATGCAGATTAAAGGGATAGTGTGTTATAATGGCGAGAACACTATCATTGCATGAGTCATTTAACCAGACCTCTATTTTCTCTGCTGTAAATGGTGGGTGTTGGGCTAGATAGCTTCCAATATTATTTCTAAATCTACTGTTGTCTGATTTACCCAAGTGCTGTTTTTACTGTCAGTAGAAAACATACATAGAAATCATTGAGAAATTACCTTTTGCTACACTTATTTATTTTTGCTATTTCTACTATGCTAAGCAATATAAGAACTCAAACCTTCTCTATCGTGATAAAAATCAAATGTCTACAGATGTAGCATAAGGAAAAAAGTAACTTTCTGTATGCAGTTCTGATTTTCTTTTGCCTATGATAATTGCAAATCCATCTATAGAAATAACCTTTATGTTACAAATATACATATTTGTAGTTGATATTCCTTATCAAAGGCTCATTTTTAAGAGATTAAATTATCATCTTGATATGACTTAGCACCTAAAAATAATCTGGATCAGAACTCTGTAATTGTTGTCAGAATCTTATAAGTTCCACCTTTGCCATCTGCTTGCTCTATGAGACTGGGCAAATCATTTAAAATTAAGAGCCTGAGGCCAGGTGTGGTGGCTCACACCTGAAATCCCAGCACTTTGCAAGGCTGAGGAGGACCTCTTGAAGCCAGGAGTTCCAGACCAGCCTGGACAATATAGTGAGACCACATCATTACAAAAAAACAGTTAACTGGGTATTGCTGGGTGTGCCTGTAGTCCCAGCAACTTAGGAAGCTGAAGTGAGAGGATTATTTCAGCCCAGGAATTCGAGGATACAGTGACTTATGCTAGCACCACTGCACTCTACCCTGGGTGGCAGAATGGGACCCTGTTTCTAAATGAACGAACAAACAAAAAACCTAAAAGCCTTTTCCTCATAGTTAAAATGACTCAACTGAGCCAGATCTTCCATAAGTTTACTTCCAGATCTAAAGTCCTATGATTTCAAAGTTACATTATTTAGATAAAATTTTTTAGTGATTGTAATCTACCATTTTAGGGATTTCCTTTAAAATCATAATATAATTGCTTTTAAAACAATGAACAGTGTAAAAATCACAATTCCTTTCATTTTGTCAGTAAAAACACAAGTCTATTGCAGGTGACTAGACATATATGCAGCAGAAAATAGAGTTTCACCTACATGACCCAAAGTAAATAAACCTTAATTACTTGGCATGTACTCATTTAAGTACTTTATATCAAGAGACACAGGGATGAAGATGAAGGGAGCAAGATAGTACTTCTTGTTTGACCAGACTAATATATTAAATACATGAAAATAATTATTTCCCCATAAAAGCAAACTTCATACAATTTCTGGCTCTCAAGGTTCTTTCCTTTTTCTATGATGACAAATCTTCAATGCTCTCAAAGACCATACATTTTCAAGCATAAACATGATAATGCTTCTACAGGTAAGTATACAAGCCTATGGGATGAGATTTGTCCTTGGTGCCTTTTAGTAAAAGGCCAGCCAGAATGTGCTGCTGAAGAAGTCTCAGATGTTGATTCTCAGTTGAACAAACCAGACACACAAACTTTTGTAAAGCAGAGTGCAAAGTTTACCAGGAAATGGACATAAAAGGGACTTCATATGTGTTTTTTTTTCAAGTTTTATTTTACCTTTAGTGGACACATAATCGTGCATATTCATGAGGTACAGTGAGATGTTTTGATACATGTATAAATTAGGTAATGATCAAATCAGGGTAATTAGCTTATCCATTACCTGAAATGCTTGTCATTTCTTTGTGATAAGAATATTCAAAATCCTCTCTTCTAGCTATTTTGAAATATATATATTATTGTTAACTGTATTCCCTGTTGTGCAATAGAACATCAGAACTTGTTCTTCCTATTTAACTGTAATTTGTATATTGGCCAACCTCTCCCATTTCCCCGCTTTTCTCCCCAGTCTCTGATAACCATTATTTTAGTTTACCTCTTATAAAAATCAACTCGAAATGGATTAAAGACCTACATGGAAGACCTGAAACAACTACGAAACTACTAGAATAAAACATAGGGGAATGCTTCATTACATTGGTCTGGGCAAGAATTCTTTGGATAAGGCCTGAAAAACACAGGCAACAAGAGCAAAATAGACAAACGAGGTTACATCCAAATTAAAAAGCTTATTACAGCAAAGGAAACAATGAACAGAGTAAAGAGACAACCTACAGAATGGGAGAAAATATTCACCAACTATGCATTTGACAAGGGGTTAATATTTAGAACATGTAAGGAACCCAAACAACCCAATAGCAAAAAAAAACAAAAAAAAATTTCAGATTAAAAAATGGGAAAAAGATCTGAATAGACAGTTCTCAAAATAAGATATGCAATTGGTCAAAGTATATGCAAAAATTCTCAACATCAGTAATCAGCAGGGAAATGCTAATCAAACCATGATGATATATCATCTCACCCCAGTTAGAATGGCAATTTTCAAAGAGACAAAAAATAACAAATGCTGAGGAGGATGTGGAGAAAGGAGAACTCTTACATGCTGTTGGTGGGAATGTAAATTAGTACAACCATTATGGACAACAATATGAAGATTCCTCAAAGAATTAAAAATACAACTATTATATGATCCAACAATCCCATTACTGGGTATATATCCAAAGGAAAATCAGTGTGTCAAATAGATATCTTCCACTCTCATGTTTATTGTCACACTATTCACAATAGCCAAGATAGGAAATCAACCCAAGTGTTCATCAACAGATGAATAAATTCCAAAATGTGATATATACACAGTGGAATAATATTAAGTCATAAAATGAATAAAGTCCTGTCATTTGCCACAACATGGATGAACCTAGAGGACACTACGTTAAGTGAAATAAGCCAAGCACTGAAGAATAAATACAGCATGATATCACGTACATGGAGAAACTAAAAAATATATGTGGATTTTACTATCCAACCAATAGAGTAGTCAAAGTGGATGGTCGTAGGTAAATGATAACACTATCTTCTTAAATTAACATAAATATATTAAAGAAGTTCAGGCAGTAAGAAATGGGCAACCAAGGGCTAACAATATTCTTTTCTTCACTAGGTTGATACCAACTTGCTAAAGTGGCTGCTATCAAGAGTATTTATAGCACTGTGTAAACTAGTGACTTGAGTTTTACATCCAAAAGCTTTGGTTAATATTACCATCGATGTTTAAAGCTGAGTTTAATGTCTAAAAGCTGCTCAATAAACATTTTAGTACTGCTCTTTTCCAGTGATCTGAATTCAATAATGTTACCTTTTGAGAAGCTGCAAAATGGAAAGTGAAAGAATGATTTATGAAGCCTGGCTATGCATGGCCAGATAAGAAAGCCTTAACTGATGCTTGCAAGATTCTCTTTAATGAAGTACAAGTTGCCAAGATAAGTTTAGGTAAATGAAGCTTCTGTCACATTATGTTATAGTGAAAGAAATGACAGACATAGCACAGAAGATGGAGGTTAATACAAAATGGTAGTGTCAAACAATGTAGTCTAGGTAACTGCACAAAGATGGAGCAGATGCATTAGTGTTATTACTATAAACAAGTTCATAATACTACAACACATTCATGGAATCCATTCGAATTAAGCCTAGCAGCTTTCTTTGTTTAAGTTGTCACTTAGGCTGCATGCAGATCATATTTCTGAGCCATCGACTCCTTTCAAGTAAAAGCTCCTGTATTCAGTACCAACTTCTATTTAGATTGTACTGTTAACCTTAAAACCTCTAATGTTTTGCCTTTTCAATGATTTCCTAAGGCAATGTCTGAATACTTTGTTGAAAATGTTACTTTCAGGGCTACGATTTGAATGAAGGAATTGTCACACCTTCATATCCCCAGTTTTCTCAGTCTGAATGCAAAGAGAAATTGTGAATACAATGGATTGAGAGAACTCAGCTGTGTCCCTTAGGCAATACAATGGGGAGTGGGTCTGGAAATCCAATATATATTTTGTGATTTCAGTTCAGGATGATCTGGGGGTTGACTTTGCTTGAAAGAAATAATTGTCTTAAATCCATTTTGGCATTCTTCTGTGGAGAATGCTGGTGGCCCACTATTACACCAGAAACAGTCAAAGATGGAAGGAGGGAGTTAATTGTGCTGTGACATTTGGCATTGAACTTGCCTAATGCATAAATACTAGATTTCCCTTAGTTTAAGATTTCCCTTAAACTCCCACAGTTCTAGATTTCTATGTATAATTACAAAGAAAACACATTGACAAAAATAGGTATAAAAAGTACACACACACACACACACACACACATGCATAGATACTAAAAGAAAAAAAACCCTCAATTCAAAACAAATGTACTAGACAACCATCTTATGGAAAATATACAGTCTTTCATTTCTGACATTGAATAGAGAAATCATTTGCTCATATTGCAAACTGAGCTGCACTCAGAAATCTATGGACCACTCTTTCTCTGAATAATTTTAGAGCAAACTCCTAAAGAAATAATGCTATACTTTTGTGAAAGGCATGCAGCTACATTTTTGAAATAACAGGTAGTACATCATGATGGACTGTACAGTGTTAATTTTTCTATTTTTAAACATTTTCTTAACATCTGATCTTAAAAACGTGTTTTTCTGTACTACTTTGACTTATTCTTTGTACTTTTCCCTCTTTCTTTCTTTCCTTTCTTTCTTTCTTTCTTTCTTTCTTTCACTTTCTTTTCTTTTGTTTCTTTCCTTTTCTTTTCTTTTCGTTTCTTTTTTTCTGCTAGCTGAGTAAAGCAGTCAGCTATGCGTGGTCCCTAACTTACAGCTAAGTTTCTTTAGAACCCAGAAATTGGATGCTCCTGGGCGGGGATAAAGAGTAGCAAGGAATGTAAAAATGGTAATGTGGATCTGGGCTTATATACAAATGTCTACAATCTACAAATGATCACAAGATACCACTTGTGATTTAGGCATTGCTTGTAGCTGATAAATATCAGATAAAGGGCCAATGGACAAAAATAAGTAAAGTGTTCAGAATATTTTACTTTCAATAATAATATATTAGGAGAAAGTACAATATCCAAGCTCAAAAATAGAACAGTTTGTAGCATATAAACATTTCACCACCCTCTCCCATTTCCCATTTTAGGAGCCCTTGACCCAGTTAAATTTTAGTCTGTTCCATACAGGCATCAAGCATTTCCTACAGTAAAATTTTCCCACCAAATCATTTAAAGAACCAAGATGCAGATTCCAGCATAAGAAAAAAAATATCCTCCAGCATGATGTGCTGGGAACACAGCACCATTTACTCCCAACTGTTATACCACTTTCTAGAGAACTCTGGTTTCCACCCATCTAGAAACCCTCCCCTTTAATTATATTTTACAAACTGCCTGTGACTGGCATATTTCCCATCAATGTACACATACCAAGTTCCTAGTCAGTGGTATTTACAACTTAAAGCCTAACTTTCTAAAATTTCTCTGAAATAAACTTCAGTGTCTCATTTTCTTTCCCCACCCACAAACTGCACACACAGTTTTAATCCTGCTAAACACCATACTCCATAGTTTCATCTCATATTCTCTCATCCCAGCATCTTAAATATAATCTCTATGGAGCTGTGGCCTATCCTCTTTTGTCACAGGATCACCTACTTCAGTCATAGGCACTTGCTTGCCCAGAAAATTTCAATTAAGACACAGCGAGCCTCTGAATAGTGGAGTGTAGGCTGGAAATTATTCTTTATGTGTCTGTGTTCCACTATGGTGCCCTTATAGCATTCCTCACATGCCCCAACCCTCACCACATGTACCAATTTCCTCTATCAAGGCTCTTGGGCACACTTGCCATGAGACTTCAGGTCTCCACATGCCTTGTTTGGTCTTAATATCTGAGACTTTCACAGTGGCCAAATCCTCCTTGCAGCTGTCTCCCTTCAGTTGTACTGCCCTTTTGTTCCCCTGAGCTTATCACGCTCTTCCATGACATAGGGTTTCAATTATGCTCTTCCTTTTCATATACTGAGTCACACTCCCTTCATCTAGTTAACTCCTGCTTATCTTTCTAGTCTCACCTTGAAGTTGATTTCCTTCTCTTTAACAATCCAGATAAAGTTAAACCCTTTTGTACACCTTCTTCACAGCAATCATAATGAAGAATTAATTTTTTGAAATTTTTTAGTGTCTTTTCCACTAAATTTTAAGCTTCATGACATTGGGGGACAATTTTTGCCATGCTTACTGCTGCGGTTCTAGTTCTATAGACTCATTGGGTATTTCAGAATAGTTGTTGGATAAGTGAATAAAAAAAGTATGTAGAGAAGAGTGAATAAATGTTCTGGATATATATTACCAAATTGCTTTCTAAACTTTTACAAACTTAATTTATGCTTTTCTTGCAGATTTGAAAGTGCCCATTTACCTGCACCTTTAAGTATATTGAGTATTTTTATACTCACTTAAACATTTTTAAATTATATAATTCATACTTTTATAAAATGTTTAATAAGTGAAAAATGTGTAATTTTTCATTAATGATATCAATATTTTTCATATGTTTATTATTGATTTATCTGCTTATGTCCTTAGTATGTTTGAAATCATCTTCGATTTATTAGATCTCTATTTGTCAAGAATATTACTCATTCTTTATCAATTCATTACAAAACTTCCCTCAGTTTGTCATTTTAATTTTTAAATAGACTTCATTTTTTAGAGTAGTTTTCAGTTTATAGAAAAACTGAGCAGACAGTATAGAGAATTCCCTTATACTCCCTCTCCTCTCACCATCAGCTTCCCTTATTTTTACCATCTTGCATTAATGTAGTACATTTGTTACAATTGATGGACCAATATTGGAACATTATTAAGTCAAGTCTACAGTTTATGTTAAGGTTCTTTGAGTTGAATCAAATGTGTAATGTTACCTGTCCACCATTTTAGTACCATACAGAAGAATTTCACTGCCTGAAAAATCCCCTATACTCCCTCTGTTCATCCCTTCCCTTCTCTTCCTTACTACCTTTAATAGATCCGCTGGTAGAGCAGAGGACTGTCAACTGGGTATCTGCCATTGTTAGTTTATTTTGTTTATACTTTTAGTTGGAATATGAAAGATTTAGGTTTTTTTTTTTTTTTTTTTTTTTTTGAGACAGAGTCTCACTCTGTCTCCCAGGCTGGAGTGCAGTGGTGCGATCTCTGCTCACTGCAAGCTCTGCCTCCAGGGTTCACCCCATTCTCCTGCCTCAGCCTCCCAGCCTGTAGTAGCTGGGACTACAGGCGCCCGCCACTACGCCCGTCTAATTTTTTGTATTTTTAGTAGAGACGGGGCTTCTGCGTGTTAGCCCGGATGGTCTTGATCTCCTAACCTCATGATCCGCCCACCTCGGCCTCCCAAAGTGCGGGGATTACAGGTGTGAGCCACTGTGCCTGGCCAAGATATAGTATTTTATATAATGAAATCTATTATGTAAAAATTTCCTTCTGCACACCAAATAGTCAAATTTAATAAGCCATTCCAACAGAAATGAAATAGTTTTTGTTTCCTATTTACTGTACTCATGTAAGTTCTCCAATTAGAAAATAAATAGATTAGGAGCGGGAACTGACTATTTTCTACAAAATGTGCTTAATCAGGAACTATGCTTTTATATATACCAAATATCCTAGAATTATAACCAGACATATGTATTGAGTAAAAAGAAGGCAGTAAAAAGGATACGCCAGACAAGTGAACAAAGTTCATTACTAACTTCCTTGAGATCTCTTTGAGATCTCTTCCTTTTCTCTTTGAGAACCAAGAAGGAATGAATAGCTCAAAAGATCCTTCACATCACTCTTCTGAGCCAAAATGCCTGAATTAAATAACAAAGAGTGAGTCCTCATGGTAGCAATACTGGATGTATAGATACTCAGGTTTAATGGCTTCTGAAAATCTCTTAACAGGAGAGGATTTAAAGTAAAACTGGTCTCCTTGTCTGCTAACTTGCCTTTTCTGATTCTCCATGATGCCTTTGGTGCCTTTTCTTTGGAATGCCTGAGACCCATCCTGCTTGGCTCTTCCATTCCCATTATACACCCACCCAGTTTTATAATCATTTCATGTATGTGTCTATATTCATTGCTAGAGTAAGAGTTCCTTGAAGGCTGAGATCATGACTAATTCAAATTTCCGTCTTTGTTTCCTAGCACAAAATCTGACATAAAGCAAGCCCCTCTACACCTCAGTCTCTCCATCTGAAAAACAAATACAATAAAAATGTGAAAGCAATATTGAAATATAACAAGCATGGAATAAATTTTATTTTCAGTCATTGGCATTCTCTCAAAATATTCATATAACCTCTTGCATTGCATTTTTCAGCTTTTTCAGAAAAATAAAGAGGCAAAAAGAGAGGCAATTATGTTAAAATGAAGCAAAAGTTATTTAGGAGAGAGTTCTAAATTTATTATTTAAGAAATTATGCTTTCACAGTCATATTTCTATCTTGCAGCTTTGCTTCTTCCAAGTTCATAATTTGTTAGTTGAAGCTCTATTAGCCAACATAAAAGGATTCTCACACATTCTTGGAAAGTATGATTTTCATGATACAAGAATATCACAGTTCCAATTACTATGCTGTCTATATGAGGATTGCTATGAATCATAGATCTAAAGATTTTTATTTATTTCTCCAGAGGAAAAGCATGCTAAAATGCATTTTATTTATGAGGTGTTTTATTGTTTTATTGGCATTTCTTCTAAGAAATTATTGTTTTCTTAGCCATGTATCTACCTACACACACATATAATAAAATAACTGCTTCGTATTAAGCACGTTTGATAGGCACTGCACTAAAAGGGTCTTTTATATAATTTTATCAAATCCTCAAAACAAATTTATTAGGTAGAATTATTCTTTTTCTAATTTTATAACTAATGATAGGGACAGGAGGCGGAGAAATTCTAGGTAGAAAAGTGCAGGTCCCTGGCGAAGGCCCACCCTCAAGTTGAAAGGCTTGAGACCATGGCCCAAAGTGAAAACTTACATTTCTGTTTTCCTGCTCAAATGTTGCCTTTTCCAAAACCACCCATGGCCCTGCCCACCCCCCGATTCTATGCTTATAAAAACTCCAGAACTCAGCTGGCAGAGAGAAGTAGCAGCTGAACATTGGAGACTATGGCTGGATATTGGAGAGAAGCAGCTTGACTGCAGAGAAGAATCCAGACGGAGATGGCCGGACTTCAGGGGAAGATTACCTTCCTGCCCTGTCCTCTTTTTAGCTCCCCTTCCTGCTGAGAGTCACCTTCATCAGCAATAAAATCCCCCACATTTACCATTGTTCAATTCATTCATGCAACCTAATCTCCCCCGGCCACCAGACAAGAGCTCGGAAGCCATGAGTGCAGATGCAAAGGCTGTCACACTGACCCTTTCCCCTCGCTGGTGGAAGAAAGCTGCCTCATGTGAAAAGACAAAGGGTCCACTGAGCTGTTAACACTTAAGCCGTCCATGGATGGCTGAGCTAAAAGAGCACTGCAGCACTCCCTTTGGGGCTTCAGGGGTCAAGAGAAACCCCCTAGATGCTGTGGCAGGGCTGGCATGGAGTTGGCTCCTGTTGGCGCCCAAAGGCACATGTATCAGCCCCTGCATCCACTCATCTGCGTGCCCCCTCCCGTGAGGGATAAAACACACAGGTCTGAGTGAGCAGAGCTTGCTCCTGCTGGTACCAGAGTGGCTGGCTGACTCCAGTGCTCATGTACTCCAGTTCCCGCCTCGTTAGCGCCTGTGCTCCTTCATGGGAGGAGTTGAGAGCTGGGGGCTGAGTAAATGGAGCACCCCTGTCATGCGTCCCATGAAGTGGTCCGGGAAATATCCTGCTTCAATACGAAAACCAAAGCTCAGAGAGGCTGAGTTTAGCCCATTGTCACGTGGACAAATACAATAGTAAGGTTTCCAAATGAAGTATGTCTGATTCACATGCCTTCAAAAGCAACTCTGTACTTCACTAAAAAAACTGTTGACTGAATGTCCAGCACAAACCCTATCTTAAAAGACATATTAATAAACTGAACTTTGGTTAATAGACCAACTATAACCTGTGGAGTGAAAAATCTTTATTTTAGTACAGGATGAATGCTCTGATTCTGTCGTTGATATGGTTGTAATACTATGTATTTCCTTATTTACCGTACTTATTGAAGCTTTCCCTTTCTGTACATCTCTTTTCAGACTTTTGTTGAGTTGGAATGTAGAGACTCTTAGTTATGAGCATGGACTATGGAGCACGATTTCCTGACTTGAATCCCAATTTTGCTACATATTAGCTTTTGACTTTGGGCAAGTTGTTTCACCTTTCTGTGCCTCAATGTCTACCTCTATGTAAAAAGAATAATAATGCACTCCTTCATGGTGTTGTTTTGTGCTTAGTTTCTACATTTAAAGTGTGTAGAATATTGCCATAGCATAGGGAAAAATAAACAAATCTAAGCTATTTTTTCTTATCCAAAAATAACTAAATACTAGTTTTGACTGCATATGGCATATGTGAGAGAAGCAAAGGATGGATGATGAAAAGGGAAAAAGAGCAGCAGAAAGTGAACAGAAAGCTTCAGCAGAAAAAACAATAATTCAATGAGACCAAAAAGGCATAGATTCTTGTTGTAATAACTGTTTTTATTTCAAAGTATTACTTTTCTGAAGCAGTGACTCTCTCCCAGGTGTCAAGCCTGGACTCTTAGTTACTAGCTTGGCCAATTGGCAAGTGTGCCCAGGTGAAGAGCCACTGCAGACCCTAATTCACCACTTCCTTCCCAGCTGTTTTACTCAGCATTCTTGGGTCTTTCCGACAGAACTGTTTTTCAAGTACTTTAGGAAATACCACTCCGCTTTTCTGAGGTTTTGGCTTAGCTTCCTAATTTCCTGCTTTATGAACTTGCGTAATTTATCAAATATCTTGAGGGGGAACCCAGCCATGTAGCTGAATGTCCTCAATTTCCCCATTTTGTCCACTCCAGCGAGTGGGGCCACCTAAAGCTTTGCTGTTTTCCATGTCCATTTTGGTCTGCCTAGCCCCCTGAATCTCAGTTTCTAGCTGGGTTTAGAATTAAAAAGTGTCCCCTGGAAAAAGTTGAGCCCTCAACTCACCTCTCTGAAATTGTACTCTGTCTCTTCTTTGTTTCTGCAGCTGGTACTGCTTTATTAACTTATCTCAACTTTTATTTTAGGTCTATGGAGTACATGTGCAGGTTTGCTACTTCGGTATATTGCATCCAGGTAGTGAGCATAGGGGCTAATAGGTACCATATATACATATATTTTCCCTCTAGTTGTTCTCAGAGTGTTCGCCTACCTATTCTAACCAACCCACTAGATTTAATTTTTTAAAAAATCTTCAGATAGGTATTTTAGCTAAGTGCTTTGACTTTCTCTATGCCTCAGTTTCATATCCATTAAATAAGGCTAATCAGAATACTGTCTCATAAAAGTATTGTGAGGACTGGATGAGTTAATATATGTAAAATGCTTACAGTGGTACTTGGTGACAGTAAGGGATGGGGTAATAAGTGTTAGCTATTATAATTGAAGACAACTTCAGAGCACAGGAAATCAGATTATTTGTGTAATCTTTCATTTCATATACTAATTTGAAAATTAATTTGTAATAAATTAACTTATCCTAATAGTTATTAACCCTATTAAACTCATTGTCTTCTTTTAAAAAGGCAATTTTAATGACTCATCTACTAACTTAAAGTACACAAATAACATAATCTACATTAAAATCATTATAGAAAAACGTTATAGTGGCCTATGTAAAATATAAATATAAAAGAGAAATAATTTATGATAAATTAATATAAATTTTGATATAAACATAATCAGGCATGAATACACTAGAAGACAAAATGTAGTCTGATGTTTTTGTTTGCTTATAATGAGTAAATTTAAATTTAAAAAAGGTCAGAACCTTTTACATTAAAGAATACAGAAAAAGAAAAAGTGCAGTGGCATAGAATATTGAAATAAAATTAGTGTTATAATGAGTAATGACATACTTCTTAGAGAAGAAAGCAGAATATAACACCAATTGAAGTAGAATTTACACTCCAAGATACATTACTTGAAGTGAAGAAAAAAATGAGGTACTGTATTCATGCAAATGTGCCAGGCTGTATTTGTATGTGTAGTATCATTTAAAATTGCGTTATGTTATGATGTGATTGCAGTAAAATATATCACAGAGAACCCAAGTAAAAGCTCTGGTGTCTGACTGTCTGGACACTTCAAAGTCATTATAGGACATGAAAATAGTTTTCATTGTTCAATGAGTGGATATTCAAAATATTTACCATTCTATCCAATCAGGATTGAGAGCACTGTTATTACCGGAACTGAATACAAGAGACTTCCGTGAGGCCAGACTATTATCTGATTATAGCCAGACTATAGCATTAAGTAGCCAGATGGTTACATGCTGGCAGGCCACGGTCACCTGGTAGAGGCCTGCACCTAGCGGAACAGCTTTTATATGTCTACCTGTAAGAGAGCATTTCAATGTTTTAAGAACCAATACAGCTGCACCAAAGTGACCCACCTAAATAGTAGCCCTCACAGTATGAAACTGTCCTGAACACCATAGGCACATAGGGTCTTTGGCCACAGCCCATATTAGTAGCGTCTTTATGGTGACTGAACAGACATTACTCAGAATTTTAAAAAAACAATCTGGCGGGGGAAGGGGCTGAAGCATATCACATTATTTCAGTTAGAGTAAAGCAAATACTGTATAATATCTATTATTAACTTTAGTAAGTCTCTATTTGCTACCTGAAAAGCAATAGAAAAAGTTGGTAGAGAAAGTACTATCCCTTTCATATAAAATCTGTTGCTGGTGAGAAAAGCATTTATGAGAGAGGGGCTTTCATTTTTCTTTTCATAAGAAGTATTCATGTGCTCACATTCTGCGTATTTTGGCATGTGTAATCTAGTGAATGCAACCTCAGCAAATGAAGCAAACTGATTATTCACTCAAACTCTCTTCTTATGTTATTTGAAGAAAAAATAGTGAAACTGGATATTATCTTGTTTTTGATATTTGAAGCACTGTGGCCATCAGTTATTTCTTTATAGAGCAATTTAGAGACTGGAAAATACTTATTAGTGTGTCATTTGAATACTGGATACATTCCTCAGACTAGAGGTCCACAGTTAATCAAATAATATGAAATACATCCAAATGCAACTTTATTAACAATTTCCATATAAGAAGATATGTTATTTCTAATTTATTTCTATATTAAGAAAAAATTTTTTTTTTTGAGACAGAGTCTCACTCTGTTGCCTAGGCTGGAGTGCAGTGGTGCAATCTTGGCTCAGTGCAACCTCTGCCTCCTGGGTTCAAGCAATTCTCCTGCCTCAGCCTCCCAAGTAGCTGAGACCACAGGCATGTGCCACCACACCTGGCTAATTTTTGTATTTTTTGTAGAGATGGGGTTTTCCCATGTTGGCCAGGTTTATCTTGAACTCCTGACCTCAAGTGATCCACCCTCCTTCCTTGGTCTCCCAAAGTGCTGGGATTACAGGCGTGAGCCACTGAACAATTTTAACATGTAAATCATTTTACTTACTTTGACCTTGTGCAAAATAAAGTTTTTCCTTTTTCTTATCTTTAAATTATTCACCTGACCTGTAAAATGTATGCATTTAAGATAATTCTGAGAAATATATATTACTTTTTTTATCTTTATATAGACACGTCAACTTTGTTTTCAAGCAATAGGGAAGTTGTCTATAATATGTCCAATGTCTTTACCATAAATATAAAATTAATACATACCAAATTTTGTAAATCAAATTAAGATTTGAAGTATTGAAATGAATAATTACCTCTTGTTATAAGTGGCATTTTAAGGAATATTTACTTGTGTATGTATTGGAGTTGTTATTAGTTATCTTATTTTGACTATATACTACTAGAATTTATATAATTTTGCATTTGGATTATGCAAAAAGCTGTTTAGTTTGTGGGAGATTTGGGGAAAATATTTTGGTAAATTTACATAGAAAATAAATAATACATTAATTCTCTCTTGTATTTTTAGAATAGTAAATTAAGTTCAGGGTAAAATTTCAAATAGCACAAAAAAGTTTTTCTCCTACTCTTGAACCCTAGCCCCTCAATGGCTCTACCCAGAGGGAACTATAATTTATAGGTTATTTTTAAAATATAATTCTAGAAAATTTCATGAATATTCAGGATATTTAAAAACATATTTTAATATATGATGCCTATCCAGTTTATATTTAAGCTAAGCTATTTGCTTTTTCTCTCTCTGAGTCCTGGAAATTTGATTAACCATTTTACCAATAGCATCTTTCTCCTTTGGAAATCATTAGATTGTTACTTGTTTGTTAGAATTTTGGTAACAATGGGGGAAACAGAGAAGTTGGGTCATAGAAGGCTAAGATTTGCTTAATTTCCAAGTTATGAATCCCCATGGACAGAATCAAAACAAGAGGATGCGGACAAAAAAGATACAAAGGAGAAGCAAGTTATATACTCAAGTGTTTCCCGTTTTATTTATGGAGCCCTTCCAAAGAATAGTAGAATCTTTAGATGCTCAATTAATGTTGCTGAATGATGAATGAATGAATGAGTTTTTCTGAACTCAGAACGAGGCCACTAGAACATTCTTCTTTGTGTCAACATCCGGTTCAATACATCTATAACTCAAACATGCTCAAAAGTAAAATTTTTCTCTGTGGATGAAGGATAGGAAGTTGACAAGATTAAAGCCTTAACCAGGAAAATAGAAAGTCAGAGATTTGTAATGGTCATAAAAGGCTTGATATTTGGGTTAAAAGCTGCTATCAAAAACTATGTGAGAGCCACAAAACACTATTACTGGGTCAACATTTTAACTTATGGAATTTTTCTAAAATTTATGACTGTCTCCAGGACAAGCATTTTCAGTGTTGATTCTCAATTTGTCGTCTTTTGAGATAAAGATTTTACATTTAGTATCCAGCACCATAAGCTCAAATTTTTCCCCATTGAAATATTTGCAGGTAAATTTATTGTACTTGACAAAGGCCAGATTTATAGCTCTGGTACCTGAGTCACTTGGTTATGCCCAGAAATAATACAAGTTTAACAGTAACTCCCACTCTTTGTTGATAGCATGGAATTATTTTCCAAAAGTGCCCTGTACTATACTACTATTATCTCTAAAATCTGCCAGCAAGTGGCTCTCTGTACCCATCACTCTCATGTATATGTCTACATGGGATAAAATGTCAGATCATTCAGTTGATCATTTCATTTGTTCAGTTATGCTGAACAAAATCCACTTTTAAAAATTTTGCTAAGCTTTTCAGAATATTAGAGGAAGAGCAGGCTAGTTTCCTGTAATCTCAAACCCTAACCTAATTAGATTTGTAGGTGTTTTTCACTAAAGTGTAAATACAGAAAAGGGGGTAGATTGTCTCTTTTTCATTTGATTCTCATTTGAGATTACTCAAGATAACCATTTCTTCTTTGGAAGCTGTGAGTTCTAACCCAATCTCTGTCACATATTAGCAAATAATTAGTATCTGTGTTTCAGTTTTTCTATCTGTAAAATTGGCATAATAATATCCACTTCAGATATATTTTGTAACTATTGGATGAGATAATCAAATATGAAAATCCTAGAAAAAGATCTGATACAAAATAAGGACTTAAACAATAATGACAGTGATGATGATGATGATGATGACTGACATTATGAAGAAGAATCAATATTATTTAACCTGTAAGCTAAGGCCCAATTTATAGATTCTTGTTTTGTTTGGAAGTATTTTTAATTTAATCCTTCCTGACAATTGAGGATAATAACAATCATTTATTAAGTACTGTATGAAAGAATTCTGGACCACCGAAATGTTTGGTCAAGTGCTTACCATTTAGTTCCTGATGGTCACACAATGGTTTCTGGTAGTCTAAGGGTGGAAAAACTTTAGGGAATGTCAGGGGAGCAAGAATCATAAAATTTCCATCAATTTTTTAAAGATGGGGTCTCAATATGTTGCCCAGGCTGGCCTCAAACTCCTGGGCTCAAACATTCCTCCCACTTCAGCCTCTTGAGTAGACGAAACTACGGGAGCATGCCACTGCTCCAGGTTCACTGTTTTTAACAATAGGGCCAGACACAGTGGCTCACACCTGTAATCCTTGCACTTTGGGAGGCCAGGATAGGAGGATTGCTTGAGCCCAGGAGTTCGAGCCTGCAGGCTGCAGTGAGCTATGATAGCTCCACTGGGCTTCAGCTTGGATGACAGAGCGAGACTCTATCTCAAAAAAAAAAAAAAGGTGTTTTAATACTACATATCAATTAAATGCCTGCCCTCTTTGTCATAATCATGATACCAAGAATAAGATTGATAACTTGGGGGCTGAAATAAGCAGAGAAAATATCCAACCAATGATATTTCAATGTAGTAAACATTATTTAATCACTTTTGTCAAATTGTGCAGAAAGGAATACTCTTTCTGTATGTTATGGACTGAATGTTTATGTGCTCCCCTCCTCCCCATAAATTCTTATGTTGAAGCCCTAACTACCAATGTGATGGTATTTAGAGATAGGGACTTGGGAGGTAATTAGGTTTAGATGAGGTTTTGAGGGTGAACTGGAGTATTTATAGAAAAGGGAAGAGAGGCCAGAGGTTGCTCTCTCTTTCCACCATATGAAGGCACAGTGAGAACAGGGCTGTCTGTAAGCTAGGAAGACAGCCCTCACCAGAAACCAAATCTGCCTTTACCTTGATCTTGGATTTTCTGGCCTCCAGAACTCTGAGACATAAACGTCTGTGGTTTAAGCCATCCAGTCTGTGGTGTTCTGTTATGGCCGTCTGAGCAGACTAAGACTATCTTTTGAATGAAACAATCTTTCTGTCCATTTGTGTTTGTGGCAGATTCTTTGAAATTTTTCAGGAGGTCAGTTTTCTCACTCTTATCTGGCTGTTTAATGCAAGGCCCATACTGGCCTGAATGTGAGCAGAGATCTTAAACTCACTGCCTGAATAGTTATGAAGGTACACCTGAAAGATGTGCCTTGCTTCCTCAGCTATTCTAACATCTAACCCTCAGAAAGCCACTACAAAGAATGAATCCTTCTCACCTCATTCTGGACTTGCTCTCAAACAATAGGGTTTGGAATGATGGCATCAGCCCATGTTGAAGTCTCTCACAAGAAATTGCTCTTTAAAGCTCATTGCTGCACTTGTTGTAAGCATTATAAAAATGTGATAATAATAATTAACATATTTATCCATTCATTCATTTTTAAAATTTCTAATCTTTGAAGAATTTTTAGGAGCCAGGCCCTGGGGTGGACATTGCACAATGGAGATTCTCCAATATCAGTTTAGCAATATTAGAATTGTCTTGAAGAATTAATATGTGCTTTTATATTTTGTAACTGATTGGTCTCCTTCTCTGTGTTGACTGCCAGAAGCTTATGCTTAAATCTGAGGCTCATGTCTGAACAGGTATTTTATTCTAAGGTCATTTTGGTTCTGTTTCTTTCCAAACTTTATTTTCCCTTTGTCCCAATTTTAAATGCTTTTCATTCTTCTTGCTAATCTATATATTTATGTGTATCACCTTGAATTTATCTGCAGCAAAATGCAGAAGATATAAATATCAAATATAAATCACATGTAAATAAAAATGAAGAAAATTAATAGTAAGGTAGGAATTAACATTGTATAGATTCAACAGATAGTTGAATACCTTAACTGGTATTTCCCATTAAAATCTTTCTTCTTTCATCATCTTCTATTACTAATACTCAACTGAATATAGTGAACAAATATTTGCCAAAAATGAATGCCATGCAAAAATGACAACCTGTTTAATAAATCAGGGCCAAAGTGAAGTTATCATACAAAGTATAAAATAAGTCAAGATATACAAAATACCAATATCATTCTATAGATAAAATACAGCAAACTCACATAAGGAAAGGGATGCAATGTGTGACAGACATTCTGTAAACATATTAGTCATGCACAAAAAGTAAAAAAAGCATTGGTCTTTATTTAAAGTATGACTATGCTTACTTAAAAATAAAAAATTAGTGCTTTCTTTGAATATTTACAGAAACAGTCAATTGTTATCTGAAAACTATGGGGAGCAATACAGAATTTATGAATGAAAATGAAAAATGCAAGTAAAGGAAGAATATATAAAGATTGTTTAATTAAGCTGCTAAAATGTGAAGGAATGTCTAGTATAATTTTAGTCTTTAGCTTCTTTGAGAGCTCTTGGGGTTAAAATAAAGACTTTAAAAAAAAAAAAAGTAGAGGTCCCACCCTTAAAATTACAGCTATAAAATAATCTTCAAAAAAAGAGCTAAAATCCTGTTTTTAAACACCTAGGCTGAAATGATATACTGGGAAACACACGGGGCTTTATGAAGAACAAATTCTGTCACAGTGGTAGCAGATATCTTTCTATTGACAGAATAATGGGATAGTAAATCAGGGAGAAGCATTAGATATAATTTATCTTGACTTCAGAAAGAATTTGATTCAGTCTTGTACAAAGTATTAATCAAGAAATGGGGAAAAGTGTGCTGAAGGCCTCATTGCTGTTAAGTGGATCAGCATCTGGTCAATTTAGTCAATCAGAGGCACTCAGAATATTGCTATTAATAGCTCAATATGTCTGGAGCTATAGAATACATGGAATCATATGCAATTAATGCCAAAATATAAATATGGCGTGAATAAAATAGAAAGTAAATGGGAAACAACACCTGCCCTACCAATACTAAATACCACCATTGACATAAATACATATGGATATTTTACGTTGGTACTATGTTTTATTTCAAAAAGTCTTTCCATTATAAAATTGGAAGACAGAAAAATTCATTAAGCCTATTGGATAACAATAAGTGGATGTAGACAATTACTGTGTTGAAAAGAGGTGATATAATATTTTGTCATGGTAGAAGTGATAGACAACAAAAGAAGAAACTAGTTTTTATATATTTGTGTATTTAACAAACAATACCAGTAGCAATCTTTTTTTTGAGATGAAGTCTCACTCTGTTGCCAGGCTGGAGTGCATTGGTGTGATCTTGGCTCACTGCAACCTCCGCCTCCTGGGTTCAAGCAATTCCCCTTCCTCAGCCTCCCAAATAGCTGGGGCTACAGGCGCATGCCACCATGCCCAGCTAATTTTTGTATTTTTAGTAGAGATAAGGTTTCACCATGTTGGACAGGATGATCTTGATCTTTGACCTCGTGATCCACCTGCCTCAGCCTCCCAAAGTACTGGGATTACAGGCATGAGCCACTGTGCCCAGCGACTAGTAGCAATCTTATCTAGCATTTATTGAATGCTTAATATGTGTCAGGAATTTTGTATGCACACTATCTCTCTGAATGCAGACAACAAGCCTCTGCAGTACATGTTATTAGAAAGTATTTCTTAATCTCACGGACATCCAGATGAACACAAAAATAGAGGATCCAGGACTTGAAGATTTGTACAGAAGTAAAAGAATCAGCTGGTTCCACTTTCCTTGAGTTGAAGGCACTACTATGAAATCCTTGTCATAAACAGATTGTTGAGAAGATGAAAAGATACAGGATAGGACACTAGGAAGAGAACCCATTGAGGAAATTGTAATAAAGGTGTCTTGTTTTCTTTTTCTTGTGACAGAGAAACGTCACCAACTGAATGAAATACAGAACAAAAGGAAAGAAATATGCCATTTAAAGTGTTATTAGATTTTGTGAACCAACTTGGGTGATGACCTTGAACAGTTCCACTTTAGTGGGTAGGAACAGAAGATATTGCACAGGGGTTGAAGATGTGTGTGCATAGAACATTGGGGTAAGGGGCACAAACCATGTCAGAAATTTGACTGCAAAAAGAATAGAAGAAGGTAATAAAAAGAGTCAAAGAACAAAATAAAGATTGTTTTAAGGGTTTTGAAAAAAATGAGAAGGGAAGGCTTGCATAATAAAGCATAAGTGAAAAATGTTTAGTACTAGGAATGAAAGTGAACTTTGGTGTATGACACTCTTAGAAGAAGAAAAAAATGAATGCAAGAGGCACGCAAGCTTTCCCTTAATGTGATGACGCAGATTGGACAAATGCATAGTGAAAGATACTGACATGAAGGAAGAGGTAACTAAGGATAAAAATGGAATGGGTATGGATTTAATAAGACCTTAGCTGCTATAGTAAGTAAGCCAAATAGTGATGAAGGTTGTAGAGTGAGGCTGACTGTATTAGTCTGTTCTCATGCAGCTAATAAATACATACCCGAGACTGGGTAATTTATAAAAAAAAAGAGGTTTAACTGACTCATAGTTAGTTCCATATGGCTGGGGAGGCCTCACAATCATAGTGGAAGGTGAAGGGGAAGCAAGACACGTCTTACATGGCAGCAGGCAAGAGAGCATGTGCAGGGGAACTCCCCTTTATAAAACCATCAGACCTCATGAGACTTACTCACTATTATGAGAACAGCATGGGAAAAACATGCTCCCATGTTTGAATTACCTCCCAATCAGCTCCTCTCATGACAAATGGGGATTATACAATTCAAGGTGAGATTTGGGTGGGGACACAGAGCCAAACCATATAATTCTGCCCTGGTCCCTCTAAAATCTCATGTCATCACATTTCAAAACCAATAATGCCTTTCCAACAGTCACTCAGTCTTAACTTATTCCAGCATTAACTCAAAAGTCCACAGTCCAAAGACTCATCTGAGACAGGGCAAGTCACTTCTGCCTATGAGCCTGTAAAATCAAAAGAAAGTTAGTTACTTTCTAGATACAATGAGGGTACCGGCATTGGGTAGATATACACATTCCAAATGGGAGAAATTGGCCAAAATGAAGGGGCTACAGGCTCCATGCAAGTCCAAAATCCAGGAAGGTGGTCAAAACTTAAATCTCCAAAGTGACCTCTTTTGACTCCGTGTCTCATACCTAGGTCACACTAATGCAAAAGGTGGGTTCCCATGGTCTTGGGCAGGTCCACCCTTGTGGCTTTGCAAGGTACAGCCTCCCCTACTGGCTGCTTTCATGGCCTGCCATTGAGTGTCTGTGGGTTTTCTAGGTGCACGGAGCAAGCTGTTGGTGGATCTACCATTCTGAGGTCTGGAGGACAGTGGCCTTCTTCTCACAATTCCACTAGGCAGTGCCCCAGTGGGGACTCTGTGTGGGGGATCCAACCCCACATTTCCCTTCCACACGGTCCTAGCAGAGGTCCTCCATGAGGGCTCTGCCCCTGCTGTCAACTTTTGCCCGGACATCCAGGTTTTTCCATACATTCTCTGAAATCTTGGTGGAGTTTCCCAAACCTCAATTCTTGACTTTTGTGCACTGACAGACTTAATACCATTTGTAAGCTGCCAAGGATTGGGGCTTGCATCCTCCAAATCCATGGCCCAAGCAGTACCTTGGTCCCTTTTAGCCACGCTGGAGCAGCTGGGATGCAGGGCATCAAGTCACTAGGCTGCACACAGCAAAGGGGACGTGGACCCAGCACAAGAAACCAATTTTTCCTCCTAGACCTCTGGGTCTGTAATGGGAGGGGCTGCTGCAAAGGTCTCTGACAAGCCCTGAAGACATTTTACCCATTTTCTTGGGGATTAACATTTGGCTCCTTATTACTTATGCAATTTCTGCAGCTGGCTTGAATTTTCCTCAGAAAATGGGGTTTTCTTTTCTACTTCATCATCAGGCTGCAAATTTTCTGAACTTTTTTGCTCTGCTTACCTTTTAAACATAAGTTCCAATTCCAAACCCTATCTTTTTGAATATGTAAAGCTGACTGCTTTTAACAGCACCCAAATCACCTCTCAAAAGATTTGCTCCTTAGAAATTTCTTCTGTCAGATACCCTAAATCATCTCTCTCAAGTTCAAAGCCCCACAGACATCTAGGGCAGGGGCAAATATTGCCGGTGTCTTTGCTAAAACATAGTAATAGTCAACTTTATTTCAGTTGCCAACAAGTTGCTCATCTCCATCTGAGATGTGCAGAATTTGGTTAAAGCCATTCAACAAGTCTCTGGGAAGTCCCAAACATTCCCACATCTTCCTGTCTTCTTCTGAGCCCTCCAAACTGTTGCAACCTCTGGCTGTTACCTCGTTCCAAAGTTGATTCCACATTTTCGGGTATCTTTACAGCACCACCCCACTCTACCAGTACCAATTTACTTTATAGTCTGTTCTCATGCTGCTAATTGGGAAATTTATAAAGAAAAGAGGTTTAATGGACTCACAGTTCCAGATGGCTGGGGAGGCCTCACAATCATGGTGGAAGGTGAAGGGGAAGCAAGACATGCCTTACATGGCAGCAGGCAAGAGAGCATGTGTAGGGTAATTCCCCTTTATAAAACCTTCAGATCTCGTGAGACTTATTCACTATCACAAGAACGGCATGGCAAAAACCTGCCCCCGTGATTCATTTACCTCCCAGCAGGTCCCTCCTGCAATACATGGGAATTATCACAATTTAAGTTGAGATTTGGGTGGGGACACACAGCCAAACCATATCACTGTTTAATTAGTGCTGTTAATTTCTCCAGGTCTTCATAGCATTATAAGTCATGGCAAATATGGGGAAAAGACAAAGTCATTTTGTAAAATAGAATACACAGGATATTTTGAAAGAGTAAATTTTTTGGTTACTAATACTTCTATTTTTAAAAGAATGTCATATTTGCTTTATAGAATAATTTTCTTCTTTCTAAAGCACATGCCTCAGAAGTTTGTTTAGTAAGGTTTTGTAGGTAACAAAGGCAGACAACTGTAGATATTTTTGTAGATATTTTTACATTCTGTAAAACAACTGTAGATATTTTTACATTTCACTATTGTTTCTTATACATTTATTAGTTATTATTTTTTAAGTTATGGTATTTTCTCCCTGGCAATTTTTTTCTACTGTTATACCTATTATGTATATAGTAGCTAAAATGCTTAATTAATGAAAAGTGTCTTAAAGTATCAATCTCAGTTAATCATTGTTTTATTCTCTAAAACTACACATCATACAAATGAAAATTATTTATCTAGAAAGAAAAGTAACTTCTTTACAATTTTGGTGCTAAAATATTACTTTGCTTCATGTGAAAATACCTGAATGGCTGGAATGTTATTTGACTAAGTAGTCACTTGATTCAATACAAATTATTGGTCAAAAACACTGTATTTTAGAAATTTTTATTAAATATCTGATGCTGTATGTAAAAAATGAATATTGTGCCTCTGTTTTGAATATAAAAGGGAAATCTTATGATTATTTTGTTTATTATTTTATAATATTTTCCATAGCATCTAATGAGTGAGAGAAAGAGAGAGAATGGGATCAGCATTGTATTGGCAAAACTTGAGTAGATGGAAAATCTTTATATATATTCATGTTCAGATAAATAGCTATAGAATCTATTTTGCGCTGTAAATGTGTATTATCTATTTCTAGGATTCCTTATTAAAATCTTTGCACAATGTTGCCCTATATTTTCATCTTCTTAAGATAGTCTTTCCACTCTTCACGGCATGATTTCTAATAAAAAGCTTGAAATCATGAACTATGTACTGGTTTGACCCAGAAAGCTTTGACATTCAAAATCAGAGTAGTTTGAAAGGCTCAGTCAAGATGCAAGTCTAAATTAATTGGGAAATTTTATATAATGACCCTTGAGGGAAGAGATAATATATTGGACTTTTTTTATTAAAATGGTATCTTTGTAATTTAAATGAATAATTGCTATTAAAATAGCTAAAATGAAAATGTGTTCAGGTTAAATACATTAAATAATCTCTCCAGCCATTCTCATAATTCAGTATAGTTGCCTCTGGAATGAATTGGGCTTAAAACCATTGGTAACAAAATATTTATGAATGTGTAATTACAATTCATTGTACAGTGCAGAGATAAGTATATATGTATTGAATAAATACTGAATTGTTTTATACGTTTTTAGTTTTATATGAATGAAATAAAAAAGTCACAGAGATATTATCTACAGGCATAGTGATATTTAACATAGGCAATTATATTGAATTACTTATATATCTTTGTTTTCCTTACTTGGAATATTACTGAGTATTCTGTTAAGGGTCCAACATTGCTTCTTGTTCCTATAAAGCACATTTGAGTCCAAAGATTTAAAGAATTAGGAAGAGGCAAGATTGTATCTCTTTATAATTATTAGTCATCATTATAATTCAGCATCACAATAAACCATTTGATAATATTTTGAAGGTAAAGTTTTAAGTATGAAATATGCAAACTTTGCAAACTCCTCAAATTATATCAGTTTGCTTAAGATAAAAATGTTATTAACTTGATCATTCAACACATATTTTATCTATCTCTCTATATCGTTAATGACTAGAATTAGAGCAGATAAGAAGTCAAACATTCTATTTTCCCCTGCCTTCACAGGACTTACATTCTAGTGGCAAAATAAGCTAGCATTCATTATGCAATTAGCATGTAATTTTAATTATGACGAATGTTACAGATATAAAAATATTGCTATTAAAGTTTATCATAGGGAGCTATTCTTGAGGAAATAACCAATTGAACTTTTAAGGAAGAATAAGAAATAAATCCACAGAGAGAAGTGGATGAAAAATCTGCAAGTCATAGGAAAGTGATTATTAAAAAGTCCTGAGAGAGGAACAAGGTGTGATGAAGAAAAATGAATGCAGGACAGTCAGTGGCTATGAGGAAGTCCAGATCATGCTGACAACTTGAAGGTTAATTTAAGGCCCTTATTCCTTACATAAGTAACAATGGAGAGTTAATGAGGACGTTTAAGCATCAGAGTAACATACATTTTCTTTGAAAAATGTGTGCCTTTGGAGCAGAAAATGGATTGAAAGAGAAGAGATCTGAGAAGACTGTTAAGAGGATCTTTACTGGTCTAGGTGAGCCACGGTTGTAGCTTAACTAAGGGTAGACACACTTGAGAAAAGAAAAATAAATCCCATAGATATTTAAGGAGTGCATTGGGCAGGACTCTGTGATTGATGAAAATATAGGGGATGACAGGGATGGAACAAGCAATATTTTTTCCTAGCTTAAGTACCATTGTCTGAAATTTGAAGCCCTGAAGGAAGACCAAACTTAAATGATTGGAAAAGATAATGAGTTAAGACTGAGGCATGTTAAATTTGAAGGATCTCTCCACATCCACTAGGATGGCTAGAATTTTAAAAATTAGATAATAACAAGTGATGGTGAGAATATGGAGAAATCAGAACCCTCAAACGCAGCTAGTGGGAAGTCAAAATGGTGCAGCCAATTCAGGAAATGGTCTGGCACTTCCCAAAGTGATTTCATGTAGAGTTACCATATGACCCAGCAATTCTACTACCAAGCATATACCCAAAATAAAAGAAAGCATATGCCATATAAAAACCTGTGCTCAATGTGATGGCAGCCAAATGATGGAAATAACCTAAGTGTCTATTAAGTAACAAATGATAAATAAAATGTGATATAGTCATACAATGAAAATTATTCCAGCATAATATAACTGGGAAAAAAACAGTCACAGAAGATAACAAAGCATGATTCCATATCATGCGAAGTGTCCAGAACAGTGAAATCTATAGACAGAAAGTAGATTAGTAGTTTCGTAAGCCTGGAAAGGTGGTTGGGAGAATGGAGAGATGATAGATAAAAGGTATGTATTATTTTCTGAGAAGATGTAAAATACTCTAAAATTAGTTTGTAGTGATGGTTGCACATATAGTTGGCCTTCGGTGTATGTGGGTTCATCACCTTGTGGATTCAACCGACTGTGAATCAAAAACATTAAAAAAATAAAATTCACAAAGGTCCAAAAAGCAAGATTTAAATTTGCTGCATGCTGAGTACTATGTTGAATCCAAATAAATGAAGTGAAGTGTAGGCAACATATAGGTATTATAGGTCATCTACAGATTAGTTAAACTATAGAAGAGGATGTGTATAGGTTATATGCAAATGTTACACCATTTTATATAAAAGACTTGAGCACCCACAGATTTTGGTATCTATGGAAGATCCTGGAATCTATTTCCCACAGATACCCAGGGACAACTATATCTTGAATATACTAAAATCCATTGAATTTATGTGATTATATCTCAGTAAAGTGGTTTAAAATGTCTGTGAGAATCTCAGCAGTTGGAACTTAGAGAAGATTCTTGAACAGAAGAAATACATTTGAAGTCATTTGTGACTAGATTGTAGCTGAAGTTGTTGGTGGGATTGAGGAAATATACTTAAATAAGGCCAAGAACAAAAATTGTGGGAATTCATATATATAGAGATTAAGTAGATGAAGCTGAGTCCATAGAAAAGTTGAGAAGGAGCAATGAGACATGAAGTATAAAACAGAGGATTTAGGGCTGCGGTTTTAAGGAAGTCAATAATAAAAGTTTTAAGAAAGAGTATGTGTAGATAGTTTTGGATTAAATTGAGTCAAGTAGGATGTCTGAAAAACATTCATTGTATTGAGTGACTCAAAAGTCATTTTTACCTCAAAGAGAGACATTTTGTGTAATAGTGGTGGGAAAGGTGATGAATAACGATTATTGGAATTCACTGAGCAGTAAGTATTCTCATGGGAGGATGTGGTGACAGTAACAGTAAAATCTCTTTGCTGACACTGGGTGTGATTTTAATTAGAGATAAATCAGGATAAGAAGAATTTTATCTTTAAGTTGGGAACATTCCAGCATGATTATATATACATTGGAAGACTCTCATAGAGATATATTTGCTGAAGATCCAGGAAATATAAGAAAGAATCAGTATTGGAAGATTCCTGAGAAGGAAAAGGATGATTTGGTTATGGATTGACCTTAAATTACCCTGCTTACATACTGGAAAGAAATACTTCTACATATATATCTGGCTGGGTGATTGGTGAAACAGGGTTGCACTGAGCCTTCACTTTCTGAAAATTAAATTGATTAAAGGGCATTGATACGAAACAAATGTCTGTATCAGTACTTAGTTTCTTAGAACGCAGTCTCCTAAATGTATAGAGTTGTCCTTCCATATCTGTGAGTTCCGCCTCAGTGAATTCAAATGAGTGACTGATGGTATTCTTTATTTTACCAATATTAGAGTTACTCGTGAATCAAAAATATTCAGGAAAAAAACAATAAAAATAACAATGTAACAATAAAAATGACATATTAACTGTTTACACTGTATTATAAACAATCTAGATATGATTGAAGTATACTGGAGGATATGTGTATGTTGTATGAAAATACTACATTATTTTATATAAGGGATTTCAGCATCTGAGGACTTCAGTATTCACAGGGGTCTTGGAACCAACCCCCTGCGGATACTGAGGAAAGACTGTACATAGATACACATGATGGTTAAAAACAAAACTCAAACAACTTTGTAAGCCTCATCACTAAGAATAAAAGGGCAGAATATTTCAAAAGAAAGCATATGGATATGAAATTTTTTCTTATATGTGTGAATTGAATGAGTCATTTGCTAGACAATGTATTCGATCCTCACAAGAAGCTAGTCAGCAAAAGGCTTTACTAGTGAAGAAAAAAACTGATAGTATTTTTTATTTTACAAATATTAGAATAGCTTACAGTAAATTAAATTGATTCACAGTCCTTTTATTCACCTCTTTTTATTCAATGTTCTAGCTTTATTTGTCAAAACCTTTAAGTGAGTAATAAAGGCATTCATAGCTTAGTTATTTTTGTCTCAGGGACTCCAAAGCCTTCTCAATCTGAGAAACAAAAGTGCCAAAACCAAGTAGGTTTGTCATTTATGACAAATTTTATTGAACATCTGTATTGGTTTTCTGTGGCCAATGTACAAATTACTTCAAACTTGTTAGCTTAAAACAAACAAACAAAAAATTCTCTCCTAGTAACGAAGTCCAGAAATCAGACATCAGCTTCAATTAGCTGAAATTATAGTTTTAGCAGGGCTGTGCTCTCTGGAAGCTCTAGGGAAAATTAGTCCCTTGCCTCTTCCCACTTCAGGTGTTTGCTGTCATTCCCTGGCTTTTGGACACATCAACTAGTCTCTGTCTCCATGGTCACTCTGGTTCCTCCTTCTCCCTCTGTGTATATCAAAGTTGTCTGCCTCTCTCCCATATGAACACATTTTATGACATTCAGGGCTCACTCGGATAATTCTGGATAGTTGAATGATCTCCTTATTCCCAAATCTTTAACTTAGGCAAATCTGTAAAACTTCACCATATAAGGTAACATTCACAGGTCCCAGGGATTAGGACTTGTTATTTTTTGGGGATACCCATCATTAAGCTGACTACTCCCTCACTGTTCTATACCTTTAATATAGTATCTTTACTACTCTTCATGTTTTCAGCCTCTTCCATTTCTGCCTTTGCCAGCCACTTCTCCCTGCCACACACACACACACACACACACTGCTCTCAATAAAGTATTCAAATGAAATATTCTCATTACTCCTGAGAGTTTTAGAAAAAAAATCAGGTATAATGATTGTACTCTCCTGTTTAAATCTTCCTTAGCACCAGGATGAAGTTTCAATTTACTTCTATAGCATCAAAAGCCCATTTGGATTTTTGGTATGGTGCCTCTTGACCCAAAAATACCAACTTCCTTCACTGCATCTTCCTTGCTTCATGAAAGCAAACTACTTGTAGTTTTCTATCCTTGTCCATTCCCCGTGCTCAGAACACCTTCCCCGTGCTGATCTGTGAGGCAGCACTCCTGTGCCTCTCCTATGCCTGGTCAACTTTCCTTCAAGCTATACACTTGTTTGAATACATCAGAAACGTTCATCTCCCAAATACTTATAAAAGCTTAACAGGATTTGTTTCTTAAAAGGAAAGTAGCAGTTCTTTCTTATTTTAAGGGCTTAATTGAAAAGACAGTTGCAACATCTAGTTAGGATTAATTTATTTTAGAATTAAATTCAACGTAAGGCATATTAATAAAGAGGACAACATAAAAATGAATTAACAACCAATGCATAGTTAGCTTTTTATTATTCACCAAGTTTTGTAAAACATTAAGTTTACTGACTCATTTGCTCTTCATTTCTGTATGTGACGTCTCCATTCTACTGATGAGGAAAACTAAAAATTCACTTAAGTATTGGTAGAAAAGGTGGTATTTAAACCTAGGCAGTCTGGCTCTAGAACCTTCTCTCAACTACTTCAGTATGAATATAAGAACTAACTTTTTCAGGTTGGCTTACATTTTGGACCATTAGGGAAGCGTAGATTATTTCTCAATAATGTAACTGAAACAAATTAAAGAGCCCTGCCATAGACTGAATGTTTGTGTCCTCTCAAAATGCATATATTTTAATCCTAATCCCCAAGGTGATGGTATTAGGAAGTGGAAACTTTGAAAGATGATTAAGATTAGTGCCCTTGTAGAAGGGACGCCAGGGTGGTTTGTTGCTGTCTCTGCCATGTGAAGAAACAGGGAGAAGGCTGCCATCTGAGAACCAGAAAGAGGGCAGCTATTTGGGCACCTTGATCTCGAACATCCCAGACTCCAGAACTGTGAGAAACTGATTTCTGTTGTTTATTAGCCACTCAATCTATGGCATTTTGTTATTGCAGCCCAAACAAACTAAGACAAGCTCTAAGAAAATTAATTTAATCATAATTAAATATGATATTGCTATAATTAGAATTAAATTTGATGTGATTAATAAAAATTTAATAACATATATTTATAGTTAATATTTATATAGGCTCTTTTAGATTTCTTTTATAGTGTCTCATATGAATGTCACGACAAACATGAAAGAAAAAACTAATTTTATTTAATAATTTAGAAATAAATGCGTTGAAACCATCCACAGAATATAAGGAATGGAGACACACTTTCTGAGCACCAGAAAATTCTCCATTTGCAAAATGTACTGTTTCACAACTTAAGAAACTCTAAGTAGTCAGTCTACTTAGAAACCCTGCAATTTCAGAAAAAAACTGGAGAAGAACTACAATTGTTTGTGTGTGTGTGTGTGTGTGTGTGTGCACGTGTGCGTACACGCGCTTCATTTTCCTACTTGTACATTTCATGTCTGATTCACCTTTGGCTGTGAGGAAGAAAGAGAACATTGGAGACTAGCTTTCACTATAAGGATGAAGGACAAGAAAAGTCCCCAGAGGAGTGGCAAGCACATCAAGCCTAAGGGACGTGTTGATTGGTGCCTATATATTTCTGCTATTTTCAGTTTTTTCACTGGTTCATATAATGCACGATTCCACAGTGTTAGTGAAGGTAATTCCCTTTAAAGTTTCTGATCTGCTAGCCAAGGCAGTTATCACAATTCATATTTGAAAACTATGGAAAGTCAAATGCTTAGGGGTTTATTTTGGGAATTACCAAATGTTATAGGCCTTCCTGAAAAAGATTACTTTCTATGACATTACTGATTTTCTAAAACGACAAATTTAAGTTCTGTGGACTTTCCCGCCGTGTATATATTAACATATAACTTTGAAAGAATTCTCTTAATGATTTGAGAAAATAGAGAAAAATATCTTTGAAATATCTTCCTTATTGCCATTCTTTTCAGCAGATTAGAAACACTTCTATCTTCCAGATACTGTTTCACCTGGAACCAAATTTAAAACATGATTTGAATGACTCTTTTTGCATATAAATGTAAATTTTTTTTTTATATTCACAGACTGCCATAACAAAGTACCACAAGCTGGGTGGCTAAAACAACATAAATTTATTTCATCAGTTCTGGAGGCTAGAAATCAAGGTGTCAACAGGGTTGATTCCTTCTAAGAGGTATGACAGAAGGATCTGTTATAGGCCTCTGTTTGGCATATTAGTGACTCTCTTCAAGTTTGTTTGGCATTCTCCCTGTATAAGTCTGTCTCTAAACTTCTTCTTTTTTATAGTGACCTCATTGTAACTTGATTATGTCTGGAAAAGGCCCTACCTTCAAGGTGACATTTTGATTGCTAAGGTTCAGGACTTCAAATTACAAATTTTTGGAGGGGTCACAATTCAGCCTACAATGCTGTTTTACAGTATTTTACTATACTAGCTTTCTGAGTAATGCATATTTTGTGATTACTGACTCATTGGCAAGGTTTTTGTTGTTGATTTATAGTTAGAAAAATAGAGAATATATCCAATATAGAAATGCTGATAGGAATTAGGAGAAATAATTATTTTAAATGGAATGCTTCAAAGAACAAGAATCTATTAAAAACAGGCAACATATAGTTTGTGAATAAATGACTAAAGTATAGCAAAAGTAAAACCCATAATAAATCAATATACCTTATTAACAACTTGAAGGACATAATATAATAACGAAGGGAAGAAAAGAAGAAGAATTTTTCATGGGTGTTGGGATTTCCCTAAATATTAAATAGGCAAATTTCTTCTAACTAAAGAAAAGATACTAATGAGGCTAAATCTCCTTCTGATTATTCATCTCTCAGCTGGAAATGTGGTTCTTATAATTACCATTTTGAGGTTAAAGAAAAGAAGACGTCAATTTTAATGTTCTTGTCTTTTAGATGATTAGATTTATTAACATGGAATTCCTTTGTTTACATTTTATTGTACAAATAAATTCAAATCTAAATATTTCAGAGTCTTTTTCACTTTGTTGAGAGTTCTAAATTTTTAATGGTATTCTGGTTTGTTTTAAAGTTTTAATAAGAGTAGTTCCTTCTCTTACATGTATACATATCATATATTAAAAATAATGTATTTTCTATATCTTTCATTATACTCCATACTCAATATTGACCTTCAATTGACATTTTATTCATTTATTTTAGAAAGGTTTGTTGAGCATCTCTTATGTTCCAGGTATGTGTCTGGACACTAGGGATATAGAAGTAAACAAAAGAGATCAAAAGGATTTTCTTTGTAGAGCTCTAGTTACCGTGGGTATGATAGACAATCAACAAGTAGCTGAATGAATTATATAGTATATTGGAAGCCATTATGTACTATGGCTAAAATGAAGCTAGGGAAGGCAATGAAGAATGCTCTGTGTAGAGAGTTTATCGTTTACAGTGGGTACTCAGAAAAATCTATATTGATGAATTTGAGTAAAAACTTGAAAGGGCTGAAGAAGCAAGTCATCTGAAGATCAGGAGGCAGAGTATCACAGACAGAAGGTTCAGCTGGTACAAAGGCCCTGAAGCAGGGGAACAGCCTGGAGGCCAGTGTGGTTAGAGTGCAATAAAGATGAGAAGGAACATAAATGATGAAGAGTTAACACAGAAAATGAGAGAGCAGTATAGACAATTTTAGGTATTTACATAGTTTGGAGAAGTCTCCAAGTTATATAACAGAAGAAGATAGACAAGCTTCCTTCTGCAAATATCAGGATAGATTTCAACCATCCTTATCTCCCACCTTAGCCACTACTATGCCAGATTAAGCTAACACTTCAGAAAGGCTATTCCTAAGTGACAGAACTATAGAAGGATTATATAAAGTTCAGGTATAGGAAAGTTAATTTCCTTAGGTTTTGTCATTGTACTGATGGCATGGCTGGAAAGTATCACATCCTTATCATTGTCATTGCAATTGGCAGCAAAGAAGGAAGACTGTGGACCTAAAGTCGGAGGTTTGAGCTATTGAGGCAAAAATAAGACTGGTGTTTTGCAGCTTATAGATTCACTGTGGTATGTTGAAGTAACCAGAAGGACATTTAATGGGGGCAAAATACCCCCAAATTAGAAACTCTATTAAAAATTGTCCTATACAAATAAGACCTTTTTTTTCCTTAGTAGGTTGTATTTGGTTGTTAATACCAGAACAACACTAGAGTTATAAAAGACATTATATATAATTTGGTGGATATATATTTAACTTAACTGTTTAGGAGTTATGTTTAACTCTTTAGTACACTAGAGAGTTGATTTCATAGGTTGGATTTTTTGTTTCTATTTTCAAATATATGTTCTGTGTGTCTCTTTTGAAATTCCAAAGTAAAGAAAAACCCTTTTGATTTCCGGTTAAAAATTACCTCCACTGTTTTAAACTGTCTAATAATTGCAGTCAAAGTGCGGTGTCCAGAATAACATTTGTGGAATAGGTTCTGATTAAGGACTCTTCAGTCCATGTGCCTGCTAATGGTTACAAAGACAAAATAAATCTCATGTTTAAAATATAAAATGTTATTCGTCAAATTTGTATCATTTTAGTGTTTGTGGATGGAAATGCAAATGTATGAAGATACAGATTATTTCTATCATCTGGAGTCATTTTCAGAAGGGATATTAATTTTTAAAGGTTGAAATTCTATAGAGAAACTTTCTTTTCTCTAGCACTTGGGGAAGCAATTTTTACTGGGTGGGTATTATGCTAGTAATGAGAGCAGAATTACTTTCCCCAAATTGAGAAATAACTCTGCGGTGAGTGTTTTAACCAATTGAAACAGAAATTGAGAAATAAGTCTGCAGTGAGTGCTTTAACCAATTAAAACAGATAGGAAAGGCCATGTATAATGTCTCTTTATATTGCATATATACCACTTACTACATCCAGCCTCTTTTAATCCTGTTAGTCAAAAAGATCTCTGCCATTAGGCCATTTGTTTGTTATATCCAGTCAACATTTTTATTGAAACACTAGTTAAATGCAAAGAGCGTGCCTTTTCAGCAAGATTTTAATGTAGTTTTTACTATGGAAGAATTAAAACCAAACACTTTACCTGCTACTGAGTACAATTAAAGTATAATTAGAATCTAATAAATTTGCTAAACCATTTAATGATGAATAACATTTAATTCTGTATACTGTGAAAGGTATCACATTGATATGTTCAATTTGAGTAGTCAAATGAATACACTAATATGAGGTAACATTTAAGAATTTTCATGCAAACCACTGAATAATATGATAGCTTCATGTCTGATACCAGATATCCACATAATCTTTTTAATCATACTTCTATTATTTAGGATAGAAAATATGATCCCCAGAATAGAAAGTAATATACTCTACCAAAGGATACCTCTGGTTTTATGGCGAAAACACGTTTTCTAATACTAGAATAAAATGTTTATTAAAATCATTTAACATTTTCCTTATAGGGAGCCTGAAGTTATTTGTGATTTTGGTTATTTATATTTTAGGTTATAAATTGTGAAACTAATTTAATCACTGAGGATAATGAAAAAAACACACAAAATACACATAAACTAGACACTAGAAATCGGCAATTTTGCAGTGTGAGAAATTAAGCATGCAAGTCTATTTAGCAGTATGTTTTACCTGATAATAAATTGAAAGAGCTGATGTTTTATGCTAATGAACACGGACCTTACAATGGGGTCAAAAGGAGCAAAGTATTTGTAGACATATTCCTTCAATTTCACTTACTAGAATTTTACTGTTTTTTTTTTTTTGTTGTTATCATAGTTGAGCCATAGATACAATACATGTTCAAAGTGTAAGGTGATCTTTGTAGCAATCAATCCCTCTGAGGGACATTTAGCTTTCTGATTGGTATGCAGACAATGAGTAGACTGGTATGTTAACCAAGGTAAATCAATGGTGAATAGCCAGGAGTTAGAATCTATTACGAGATATGCAAAAGGACAGATAACTAGAGGTCCTATTTTTCCCCAGCCATAATAACAATTATAGTAAAGCAAAAGCTGGTGATTTTTAGCAACTTTCAAGAAATACTTGTGGTCCAACATCAACAAATTTTAGTTTGGCATTCTTCATGTGTTTATTCCATACATACATACTGGGTATATATTATGAAGAAGGTGCTATGACAGTTTCCAAATATGTCAGTTTTCGATCCAGGCAATATGATCTAGATATTATTTTTCCTGCTTCTTTCAGTAAAGTACAAGTCCAACTCCTGGAAACAATGCAAGAGGCAACTGAATGAGATTTATAAACTGCATGAAGAGGAAGGTGGGAATGGTGAGGAACCCCAGACTGGAGGAGAAATAGAGCAGCAAGTGCCTTTTAACTTAACAGAATGAAGTAGCCTAAGCTTGGCCTTTTGTGACTATCAACCTAGCAAGAGAAGGCAACTCACACAGGCTCCTCCCTGGATCTAATAGGAGTCGTGTCGACAACACCAGACAAGCCTGGTGACACCAGCAAGGACATCACCTGAGAGTCCTGCTATTAACAAAGGGTCAGGGGAAGTACACCCTCTCCTTCCTCAGCAGCAATGGGGAATCCTTTCACCGACTGAAATGACACAGCTGACTGGGCAGCATCAACTAGGAAAATTTTGCTACAGCAATCACCAACCACAGGAAACTTCTTTCTGTGGGCCTGGGAACACTGTCCTTCACCAAAGGCAACTGGACAGTAATAGTAAGGGGGGTCCAGCCACAAAAATTGGTCCACATCTGAAACCTCTTTTTTGCCAAGGGATGGTGGCTCCAACCTAGAGGTGACATGGCCTGGGCAAGCTCCGTCTTCCCTTTCATGCAATACTAGAAGGCCCAGTAGGAGTCCCAGTGGCACCAAATAAACCAAGCAGACCAAAAGACTACCACAAAGGTTCTAAAAATTAAGTTTTCATTGATGACATATGTAAACTACAGATTCAAGATGCTGACTGAACCTCAAATGAGAAACACAAAATACCCATGCCAAGACACAAACATCAGTATTAAACTTCTAAAAACTAAAGACCAAAAGAGAATCCAGATAGCAAACAGAAAGAAATAACATATTGACTACAGGGAAAGAAGAATTTACATGATGGCAGACTCATCTGAAATTACGGTGGCCAGAAGTGGCATATCTTTCAAGTGCTAAAAGAAAAAAAATATTTGCAGTAAATTCTATATGCTACAAAATTAATCTTTATAAATGAAGGGCACATAAAGATCTTTTAAAATATAAGAAAACTAAAAGATTTTGCAGCTAGAAAATCCATCCTTAAAGAATGGGTGAAAGAAGTTTTTTTTGTACAGAAAAGTAATAAAAAAGATCCTGAAATATCAGAAAGTAAGAAAAATAATGAAAAGAACAAAAATATAAGTTCATATAATAGACTTTCCCTTTCCTCAAGTATTAGAAATCATATTTGATGATAGAAAGAACAATTGTAGCATCATGTAATACACAAAGTGATGATATTTAAAAGTGGGGAAGGTAAAGGGATAAAATTAGAAATAAAGGTGTCCATAACACATGTATATTGTGATACACATAGCAACCACCAAGAAATATGTACAAAGAAGGTGCGTTTAAAAGTACTACAAGTAAATCAAGATAAAATTCTAAAAAAAAGTTTAAGTACCCCGTGGTAAGCCAATAAAAGTGAGATACAAAAATTGATTGATGATGGATTAAAGACATAAACGTAAGACCTAAAACCATAAAAACCCAAGAAAACCTAGGCAGTACCATTCAGGACATAGGCATGGGCAAAGACTTTATGACTAAAACACCAAAAGCAATGTCAACAAAAGCCAAAATTGACAAATGGGATCTCATTAAACTAAAGAGCTTCTCCACAGAAGGAAACTATCATCAGAGTGAACAGACGTCTTACAGAATGGGAGAAAATTTTTGCAATCTATCCATCTGACAAATGGCTAATATCCAGAATCTACAAGAAACTTAAACAAATTTACAAGAAAAAAAGAAACAACCCCATCAAAAAGTGGGCAAAGGATATGAACAGACACTTCTCGAAAGAAGACATTTATGCAGCCAACAAACATATGAAAAAAGGCCTATCATCACTGGTCATTAGAGAATGCAAATCAAAACCACAATGAGATACCATCTCTCAACAGTTAGAATGGCAACAATTAAAAAGTCAGGAAACAACAGATGCTGGAGAGGATGTGGAGAAATAGGAACACTTTTACACTGTTGGTGGGAGTGCAAATTAGTGCAACCACTGTGGAAGACAGTGTGGTGATTCCTCAAGGATCTAGAACCAGAAATACCATTTGACTCAGCAATCCCATTACTGGGTATATACCCAAAGGATTATAAATCATTCTGCTATAAAGACGCATGCACACATATGTGTATTGCAGCACTATTCACAATAGCAAATACTTGGTACCAACCCAAATGGCCATCAATGATAGACTGGATTAAGAAAATGTGGCACATATACACCACAGAATACTATGCAGCCATAAAAATGGATGAGTTCATGTCCTTTGTAGGGACATGCATGAAGCTAGAAACCATCATTCTCAGCAAACTAACACAGGAACAGAAAACCAAACACTGCATGTTCTCACTCATAAGTGGGAGTTGAACAATGAGAACACATGGACACAGGGAGGGGAACATCCCACACTGGGGCCTGTCAGGGGTTGGGGGGCTAGGGAAGGGATAGAATTAGGAGAAACACCTAATGTATATGACAAGTTGATGGGTGTAGCAAACCACCATGTCACATGCATAGCTATGTAACAAACCTGCACATTCTGCACATATATCTCAGAACTTAAAGTATAAAAAAAAAGAATCCCCAAAGGAAACAAATAGAAAAAAAAATTGAAAATGACATCTTGAGTACAAATATATCAATAATTACTGAAAATCTAAATAATTTTAATGTATCAGTGAGAAGCAGAAAGTGACAATGTGGATACTGTGGGCAATGTGGCAGTTGGTGATGAAAGACATTAAAGAAAATCTAAGTAAATGGAGAGATGTACCATGTCCATAGATTGGAAGACCCAACAAAATAAAGATTCTATGAATCATTTCTCCCGTGTTGATCCATACACTAAATTTAATTGCCATCAAAATCTCAACAGAAATTTTTGTAAACATAAACAAGCTTTTCCTACAATTTATATGGAAAGGCACAAACCTACAGCAACTAAAACAATCTTGAAAAAAATTAATAAATTGAGAGAAATTACTCTAATATTGAGGCTTGCTTATAACTACAATAATCAAGACTGTATAGTACTATTGAAGGAATAGACACATAGATTAATGGAACAAATAGAAAACATAAAAAGAGATCCACTTCAATATGCCAACTAAATTTGACAAAGGTGTAAGAGCAATTCAATGGAGGAAGGATAGAATTGTAAACAAAAGGTGTTAGAATAATTGGACATCCACAAGTATAAAAAAATATTGAGGGCAACCCACTTGGGTCCCCGTCCCTGCTGTGGAAGCTTTGTTCTTTCGTTCTTCACAATAAATCTTGCTGCTGCTCTTAAAAAAAAAAAAAAAAAAAAAAATGGAACCTTGACCTAAACTTAACACCTTATCCAAGAATTACTCAAAATGGATCATTAACTTAAATGGGAAATATGCAATTATAAAACTTTTACATAAAAAACAAAAGGGAATATCTTCAGAATCTAAGTATATGCAAAGCATTCTCAGACTTAATACAAAGTGTACAACTGATAGAAGGAAAAATGAATAAAATGGACCTCATTAAAATAAATAAAAAATGTTCTGTGAAAGACTGTTAACAAGATGAAAAGACAAACCATAAGCTGGCAAAAAATATTTACAAGCCACATACCCAAAAGGACTGCTATCTAGAATCCATAACGAGCTTTCAAAACTTAACATTAAAAAAACAACAATAACACAATTTAGAAAATGGTCAGAAGATACAAACAGACATTTCACTCAATAGGACATAAAGATGCAAATAAGCACATAAAAATATGTTCAATGCCATTGGCCATTAGGGAAATGCAAATTAAAACCACCATGAGATCCCTATACACCTATCAGAATGGTTAAAATAAAAATATAGTGACAGCACCAAATGCTGGTGAACATCGAGAGAAGCTGCATTAACTGGATCATACATTCCAGATGGGAATGTAAAATGGTACAGTCACTCTGAAACACATGTTAGTTTCTCATAAAAATAAACAATTATCAGATTACAAAATACAATACAATTTATCATATGACAAAAAATACAATTATCATATGATCCAACAATTGTACTTCTGGGCACTTAGTCCAGAGAAATTGATAACTGTGATCATACAAAAATATTTACAACAATGTTCATAGTAACATTATTAATATTACCCACAACCAGAAACAACTCAAATGTCCTTCAATGGATGATGGTATACCGAACGGTGGTTTATGCATACCATGGAAGACTACTCAGCAATAAAGAGGAATAGACCATTTATCTGCTTAATAACTTAGATAAATCTCCAGAAATTCTGCTAAGTGAAAAAGTCAATTCCAAACATTTACATAGTCTATAATTTCATTTCTATAACATTTTTGGAAAAACAAAGATAGAAAAAATGGAGAACACATTAGTGATTGCTAGGGTTTAGAGACAAGTATATGTGTGCATAGGGTGAGCAGAAAGGGGAGGGCCGAAAGGAAGTGAATGTGGGTATAAAAGGCAACAGGAGGGATTGTTGGGATGATGAAACTGTTATGTACCTTTATTCTGGTGATGGATACATGGCTACATATTTGTTAAAATTTAAGGAACAAAATATAAACACAAATGAATACAATAAAACTGGGCCAATGTGAGATTGGTATATTGTATCAATATCAATGCCCTGGTTGTGATATTGTATTATAATTTTGCAAAGTTTTATTGTTTGCAAACTGTGTAAAGGGTACATGGAATCATTTTGTATTTTTTCTTAAAATGCATTTGAATCTATAATTTTCTCAAAAACAAAAGTTTAACTAAAAAATGCCATCTTTGAAAAGCTTATGCTAGAGGAAGGATATAAAATGAATAAGAGTATATCAATAGAATAAAGGAGAATGTTTATATATAATAAAATAAGAATGAGAAAGTGCTAAGAAGAAAGAAATTTATTTCACCCATGTCAACTGGATGATGGTCTTTAAATGTTGGGAGAATTTTGCCAATTGGAAAATGTAGATGAAATAGAAGTCCAGATAGCTAAAAACACAAACAAATTTTTCTGTTCAAAAAATTTTCTGTGCAAAATTATAGTTTTAGTATAAAATTATAATTTAGATTTATAATTATAAAATTATAGTTTTATAATAACATACACAGATCGTTTTAGCTGATGTGAATATTACAGATCAAAAAGTGGTCAAAGTTAAGACTGAAGTGGGAAAGAGGATATTAAAATTAAAGGTTTCGTCTTTCATCTTTCATAATTTAGGCAACATGTAAACATTGTACAATCTCGAGTAGGTAACACAATTTGCTTAGTTTTTTAGAAAGCTTACCTAGGCATAAATATAAAGGAAGAAAAATAAGGAGTGCTAGGGAGGGTGGGGGAAGGTTGAGTTAGAAAAGTTATGGCATAGTCCACAACTGGACAATGAGTCTCTCTGAAAGGAGGGAATGAAAGATGTATATGAGAGCTTTTGCAGTGGTTGAATCTGATCTGAAAGGAATTTTATTCAAACGGGGAGACAGGTCTCATGATCGAGTTTATGGTTTTAAATCTTAATGGGTGATTCGAGTACTGTCAGAAAAAAGTGGAGCAGAGTTTGTTGGGAGGAGAGGGGAAATGATGACTTTTAGTTGTGCATTTGAGATGACCCTGGTATATCCAGCTAGCATTGTTCAGCACAGATTTTCTCAACATTGGCTGCTGTGTTGATGTCTGGGCCAGATTAGCCATGTTGGGGGCATCAACATTTTAGGATGTGTAACAGCACTTCTAGCCTCAATCAAGTAGATGCCAATAGTATGCCTCTGCTAGTTGTCCAGTTTTGATAATAAAAAATGTTTCTGCACATTGCCAAATATTCCCTAAGCGAAAAAATTCATTCCAGTTGAAAACCACTGGCCTGGTAGGGTGGGGCCAGTGGTGGATGATGGAAAACTGTGATTTAAATTTAACAGGGAGATCGAGATTTGATAGAAAGTAGGTAATTCCTTAGCATTTGTTGATGATACATAAAACTTAATTGATGATTACTTTTCAAAGTTGGCCTTAAAATATGTGAGAGCAATAATTCATAATTTGGGCCATTTCAGTAATTTCCTGCTATGTATATGTTCATGAAAATATAACATTTTATGAAGGATAACTTATGTGAAACTGGATGACTCATAAATCATAAAATAAAAAGGGAATTAGCTTCAAAAAGTTACTCCATCAGGGAAGAGAAAAATATATAAGCCAAATTAAATCCAATTTTTAAAAATTTCACATAATGCAAATGTCTGCCATATCTCTATGAGTCAACTTTAGGATATTTTACATAAAAGTATGCTCTTAATGTAATTTAAATACTTGCCTTTTAGACAGTCCTTAAGGTAAGGAATAAACATAATATGACACACAGTCCTTAAGGTAAAGGAATAAACATAGTACAATATATAGTCCTTTTAGACAGTTCTTAAGGTAAGGAATAAACATAATACAACATACAGTCCTTAAGGTAAAGGAATAAACATAATACAACATAGACACTACTGAAAACATGTCTGTGTGTGTGTGTGTGTGTGTGTGTGTGTGTTTTACATTTTACTCTCTCATACCTTCTGTTTTACTTTCTACTAGTTATTCTGTGGAGAATATTGTTGTTTCTCTCCAAAAGATAACATGTTCTAAATTCATATTATTTAGGCTGTCATAAACTTAAAATATCTATAATCTTTTAGTTATAAAATTAGAAAATAAAATTTTAAAGAAAAAAGCTTATATAAACTTCTAATATCCTTTTTTGATTAAAAACCCCTCATCATAATGGGTATGGAAGAAACATACCTCAAAATAATATAGGTCATATATGGCAGACCCACAGCTAACATAATGCTGAATGGGGAAATTTTGAAGTCCTTTCCTCTAAGGATTGGAACAAGACAAGAATGCCCACTTTCACCACTTTTATTCGACAAAACACTAGAAGTGCTGGCGAGAGCAATTAGGAAAGAGAAAAAAATAAAAGGCATCCACATTGGAAAGGAAGAAGTCAAATTAGCATTTGTTCATAGAAAACATAATCTTATACCTAGAAAAAGAAAACAGAACAGATACATTCATTAAAGTTGCAGGATACAAAATTAACATACAAAAACCACAAGCATTTATATGTGCTAATAGCAAACAATATGAAAAGAGAAATCAAGAAACCAATCACATTTATAATAGCTACAAAAAATATAAAATACCTAGGAATCAATCTAACCAAAGAAGTAAAATTTCTATCCTTGGTAAACTATAAAACTTTGATGAAAGAAATGGAAAAGGACACACAAAAATGGAAATACATTTTATGCTACGGATTAGAAGAATGAATATTGTTAAAGTGACAATATTGTTACCTGTTGGAAGGTCTTTACTGTGAGTTGTCCAGGTTCTGGGCATGTTGAGCAAATAATTGAACAAAACGCACAAAGAAACAAAAGAACGAAGCAATGAAAGACAAAGCAACAAAAGGAAAGAGAAAAAAAAAGTGCAGGTTTACTGAAGAAGTGAAAGTACAATTCACAGAGCGGGAGTGGCTCAAGAGCTCAAGAACCCCTCTCCACCATTAGGGTTTTTATTAAGCCAAAAGAATCCGGCAACGCCACTAGGGGCTGTTTTGAAGCCTCCAATTAGATACACCTTATGAAGGCCTGTGGTCAATCGGAGACTGAAGTGGAAACTTCTGTCTTGTTGTCTGTGTCTTCACAGGAGTGAAGGTGTGGCCTGTATGCAGCCCAATCTTGCCTAGAACTGCTGCACCTGCTGTTCTTTTGCTTATACCTTAACCCTTGGTTACCACAGTTCCCTATTGTCATGTCTCAGTACTTTCCAAAGCAATGTAAAGATTCAGCGGAACCCCCATCAAAATATCAATAACATTCTTCACAGAAATTAAACAAAAAAAATCCTAAAATATATATGGAACCACAAATACCCAGAATAGCCAAAGCAAACCTGACCAAAAAGAACAAAACTGGAGGCATCACATTACCTGGCTTTAAAATTTACCACAAAGCTATGGTAAACCAAACAGTAGGGTACTGGCATAAAAACAAACACTTAGATTAATGGAACAGACTATAGAGCTCAGATACAAACTGACACATTTACAGCCAACTCATCTGTGACAAAGGCATTAAGAACATACAATGCGGAAGGAACAGTCTTTTCAATAAATGGTTCTGGAAAAAACTGGAAAACTATCTACAGAAGAATGAAACTAGACCCCTGTGTCTCATCATATACAAAAACCAAGTTGAAATGAATTAAAGACTTAAGTGTAAGATCTGAAACCATTAAACTACTAGAAGAAAGCATTGGGAAAATACTTGAGGACATTGGTCTTGGCAGCTATTTTTTTGTGTGTGAGACCTCAAAAGCACAGGCAACCAAAGCAAATATAGATAAATGGGACTACATGGAGCTACAAAGCTTCTGCACAGCAAATGAAACAATCAGCAAAGTGAAGAGACAACCTACAGAATGGAAGAAAATATTTTCAAACTACCCATCTGACAAGAGATTAATAATTAGATTATATAAGGAGCTGAAATAACCCAATAGGAGAAAAAGCAAATAACCTGATTTTTAAAATGAACAGATGAGTTGAACAGACATTTCTAAAAAATAAGACATACACATGGCCAATGGGTATATGACAAAATGTTGTATCATCTCACCCCAGTTAAAATGGCTTGTATCAAAAAGACAGGCAGAAACAGATGCTGCTGAGGTTGTGGAGAAAGGGGAACACTTATACACTATTGATGGAAATGTTAATTCCTACTGCCACTGTGGAGACCAGTATGAAGTTTTCTCAAAAAAAAAACAAAACTAAAAATAGAACTACCATATGATCCATAATTCCACTACTGAGTATACATCCAAAAGAAAGGAAAACAATATAGTCAGGAAGTATCTGCACCCTTATGCTCATTGTAGCCCCATTTGCAATAGCCAAAATATGGAATCAACCTAAGTATTCATCAATGGAAGAATGGATTAAAAATGTATATATACACAATGGAATATCATTCAGCCATAAAAAAGAATGAAATACTGTCATTTACAGCAACATGAATGAAACTGGGGTTATGATGTTAAATGCAGTAAGCCAAACACAGAAAGATCAATACTGCTTGTTTTCACTCACATGTGGGAGCTTAAAAATTGGATCTCATGAAGGTAGAGCATAGATTGGTGGTACCAGAGGCCAGGAAGGGTGGCAGGAGGTGGCATGAAAGGATAGAAAGAGTATAAATATAATTATTACCACTGAACTATACACTTAAAAATGACAAAGATGATTACTTTTGTATGTATATTTTACCTCAATAAATTTTTTAGAAAGCATACTATTGCAAAATCTTAATAGATAAGATGAATTTATGAAGTGTGTCAAAATGAATACTTATACTTTTAAAATCTTGAATTTGTAACATTTTTTTGAAGAGAAAAAGGAGCAAATCTTCTTTCTTAGGTTTTTGGGGTTTTGCTAATCTGTAGAGCAATAGCCTCAACACTCCTACATAAAAAGGGGGTTGGGGAGGGGGAGGGGAGAACTGCTTCAAATTAAATTCTCCCTTCAGAGTTACATGGTACAAATTAGTATATTAGCAGCTCTGAGAAGACTTACAATGAAAGTATCTTTAACTTTGTTCAACCCAGTTTGTTGAATTCTATAGACACAATATAGAGTTTGATGTACTAAGGTTTTTTTTTATATATACTTGGCATCTAATTTGTACTGTTCCTCTTATGTCTCTTGACATTAAAAAGTGTTGCTCCTTCTCTGCGCTGAATGCTGAATAAATGTTACTAATGGTTCCTTCATTATATCTGAAAGCAGTTACCAAATGTATTTACTCTTTTGTATTTTAATGTATCTATTTATATTCTTTTAATAGACTATAAACTTTTTCAGGGAAGAAGTCATCACTCACATTTTTTATGCCACTCTACCATGTGGTAGAGTATTATTCAGCCATAAATATGTCTACAGCTGCCATATGGTACTAAAAAAGCACCTCTACTTCACCTATGAAAAGAGAGTTTCCAAGGTCTTTTCATTTTTTCAGTAGATTAGAAGACTGGTTGATTGAAGCACACAGTTTTCTGTACAAGTAGAAGACTAACAGCATTCAAAAGTAGCACATTAGTAAATGGCTATGAAGATAGCACAAAAGTGTGTGTGTGTGTATGTGTATATGTGTGTGTGTGTTGTTGGTGTGGGGTCTCCACATGTGGGCCAATCTTGACTGATATTATTATTACTATTATTATCAGTGTTACTACTATTGTTTAGCACTTAATTACAAATATAGCACACTGAAATACAGAAAACAGAACTCTCTCCCATCAAAGCACCCTGGTAGAAACTGAAGTTATCTAACAAGATAGAGGTTTCAGTTTAGTTTCTCAAAACCAGATAAAACAAACAAAATAACTCTACCATAGCAATTTGGAATTTCAATTCTAAAAAAATACATGACCACACCTAGAGTCTTTCACCTGAAGAGAAAACCTCATTTAAAACACTTAGCTGAATAGGAAGTCATTTTATTGATTTTCGTTTCAAAAATATTTACTCAAGGGACAATGGAAAGTGTTGATTTAGTGGAAAAGACAAGTAATATATTCACCAGTAAGACACTTAAAAATTAATGAACTTATTACAACAATGATAGATACATAAAAATGTACATGTTTGCAACAAGGTTATGAGCTATAACATCAGAGGCTGATGGTAACAGAGTAACTAATTACTATTAGAATGTAGACTTTTTTCTTTGTCAGAACCATGTTTCTACATTTGCAACTTTCATATTACTTTAGTCACAGTTTCATATGTATTGCTATAAACACATATTTCAAATACTGGGTGGAAACTAAGGCAGCCAGATAGCTCAATAAACTAAGTGACAGAATGGAATCTCATAGATAAAACTTCTCCTCTGTATAACCTTAGGTCTAGGAAGATGATCTTAGTTTGAATGGCTCTTGTTAGGTAACTCTTCTAAGTTCAGTATTTCTCTGTAACGTAATTGTAGTTATTTAATAAGTATCATAGATATTATAAATTTGTGTCCAACCTATATTCTGATAAGAAAGTTAGCATGAATCACAGATCTGCAACTAAGCAGCCAGCCTCATCATCATTATCCTTCAACTACCTCTGTCTATGTGTTTCAAATCTTCCATTCAATTTGGCAAAAATTTTTTGTAAACCTGCACAGGTGCAGAAGCAGTTGATAGCACCAGGTTGGCAAACAGGCAGGCCAAAGAGGGCAGGACAAAGCAAATATAAACATGGGTTTCTTGGAAGCCGTTTCCATCCACGTGCAATAGGAACAGCTAAAAAAAAGTCAGTTTCCCTGCCAGAGTCTGTGGAAGGCTATAAAAGACTGTCATTACCCTTGAGACACAAGGAATGTCTTTAAGGTTCAATGCTAGGACTGTAATACTACTTCAGTGCGTGATTATGGGCAAGTCTCTTGTATGTTCTGGGCTTCAGTTTTGTTTCCTCTAAAATGGTTGGAATAATGCATCATTTAGAGGATTGGTGTGAAATTTTAATAAGATAACACGCTTGATTGAGCAGAGACAGAAATTCAACAGGATATTAACTCAATTGACATATTTATATGCTATATACTGTGACAAATGAGGGGAAACAGTGTTAAATATCTGTCTCCACTTAGTAACTTATTTTCTGGGCTTTAGCTAGGCTTATAACCTCCAGGAGGAAAGACATTTTCTAGTTTCTCTTTATAGCCAAATGTGGCCATGTGGTTAAATTTTGACTGATATTAGCAAAAGTGTTCTGTACTGCTTTCAGTTACCTTGTTTAAAAAGAGGGTGATAACCTTTCTTTGTCTCTTGCTCTTCTGCTGACTGAAATGTGAACATAGTAGCTGGAGCTCAAGTAGCCATCTTGGATCATTAAGTATATTTTATGTATTGAAGATGGCAGAACAACTTGGTCCCTGCAAAATTTGTGAAGCCATCTTATCAGTCACTTATCTATACCATGAAACTATCCTGTAACATGAATGGAAAAATATACTATAATTTTAAATATTCTGAATTTTCTCTTGGCACTGTTAAGGGTCACCTTGCTTGTTGTTGTGAAGCAGACAGAAACGCTTCATGTCTTCATACAGCTTATATTCTAGTGGAAAAGGTTGGGAGGGGGCAGGAAATAGAATTATTCAGCCTGTCCATTTCTAGAGCCCACATTCTTGTGTGAGGGAGAGGCTTGTATTTGGTCCCGTGCTGATGGTTAATTAATAATGCATTTACCCGGACCTAATATAAGACATAGTGAACCTAAGCCTTTCAGAATGAGACCTTTGATAAATTGAATTGTTCACAAAAGGCCAGTCTTTGATGCCACACAAAACGATTCCCTGCTGTCTTCCTTAGATCTCTGAGTTAATAGGATTTTCAAAGCTCATTCTACAAAATTCCATAAAGACTGACTCTTCATTCAATGTGATACGGATATATGGTGTGTAAGAAAAGACTGGTGACCTTTAAAGCTGTGAGAAGTAGTTTCGGATCAAATAGTGAGGTGCTATGTATTCTAGTTAAAGGTTTAGAGTAAGCAGAGATTAGTATGTTTGTAAGCAAAATAGAATTTTTATTAACTAAGTGCAGATATTGTCAAATGGGAAAGGAGTGGACATGTGGAAAGCAAATGAGGAGGCAGCTACAGTATCCTCAGTGCCATTTTTGTTGGGTCTCTTTTCCCTGACATTAGAAGGGCCAGTGACCCTCCAAAGCCAACTTATATAATTGACTTCAATATAGTCATATTAAGTTAATTCCCAGAAGGAAAACAGTGTCTAATAAGTCCTTTCTGAGTTGTTCTAAACAAACATAAAAACATATAAACAAGTAACAAATAAGCAGTGGTCTTTCAATATGAGAAGAGTAATGAAAAAGCAATCAGAATTGCAGAAGCTGAAGGAGAAAGCAATCACCAAATAAACATCTATCTAAGAACTTTTATTGAAAGATTTTTTAAAAAGAACCAAGTTTTGTACACCATGGTGCTAAGCATCAGTTGCTAAAGTTTTAGGTGATCAGTTTGATTCCTGCTGATAGATCCCGGAGCCGAGCCATCAAAGGAAATTATGTTTTTATTCAGAAAAGAACAAATTGCTCACAATGTCTTTCTGAATCTCGATTTTCTACTCCAGGAAACTAGAATAAGAAAGGATATTATTAATTTCTTTTTTAAGAAAAATTATAAAATGATGATGGAAGTAGGTATACAGGTATAAAAATTACAGCAGCAGCAGCAGCAACAATAACAATGATTGAATTTAAGATTTTCAATACACCTACCTCTCCAACCTGATTTTGTGCTTCTTTTTACCTCACTTACTCTTATCTATCTTGGTCTTCTCTCGGTTCTACAAATATGCAAAGGTATATTTTAACTTAGAGCTTTGCACAGGCTGTTCACTCTGTCCAGAATTGCTCTTTTTCTGACCCTTTGCTTAGTTGCCGCATTCCCTTATCGAAACATTAGCTCACCTCCTTAACATTATCTCATCTCCTTCCCTCTATTTCCTTATCTATCTCTTTTTAAAAAATTGTACTTGATTGATTTCTTCCTGTATCATAGAACATTGGTGTTGTCTTTTCTCAATTGTATTATCTATTTTTCTCAGCACTGAGCACTCAGGGACCAACTAGCACAGTGTCTAGCAGATTGTGGCTTAATGGTGATACTGGTTGAATGAGTGAATAAATAAAAAGTGTTGCATATTTTTCTTGCTTAGCTTGCTGAAAGTATAGTTTCTAAAATATGAAACCATTTAGCATGTAGTACTGAAACAAATGTATTTGGTATAAAGTGACAAAATTTCTTGTATAACAAAATCATAATTTTATTAAATAATTACTAGAATACTGTCATTATGATAACGGCAAAGTCTATATGCAGCGGTCAGTATCTTTATGAGGCAACTAATAACACAACAGTTTTTTTTTCTTAAAACAATGTCAATTTGTAAGATTTATTTCTAAATAGAAAGTCAGTATTCTCTTACTGATACCTACAAAGTAGCCTGTTTACAGTTTTCATTAGCACAGTTTACTTCAAATATATGGAAGTAAATTATTTCACTTTCTTGACTTAGAATAAGCATGTAGGCAGATCAGTAAAATAATATTCTGAAAATTTTCTATCAAAATGAATTTGGTATGCCCACTTTCTATAGGTCAACTGGTTATCATGCAAATTAAATAAATATTTCTAGTAACAATAAATAAAGCCAGATTCAGAGAAAATATCACTGGTTGATAAATATTATTAGAGATATCAAAATGAGTATATGTATTTATAATTTTTCTTCAATGTTCACACCTAAAAATTAATAAATATATACATCAATAATTGTAAAGCTATTAGAAACTGAAATTAAATAAAATATATTGCATGTAATGTCTGTGCTGTAGACAATGGTTTAGGTGTCATATTAACTTTTGGCCATTCTACAATATGACTTTTAAAGTTATTAAAAACAAGATAAATTTTGTGAGTTGGGAAGCACTAAAATACAATTTCAATGTCTAATTCATAGTGAAATATTTCATTAGCCTTAAATAGAAACAAAATTGGAAAACACATTAATTATGCTAGTGTGTACTGAATAAGTGTCTACTATAAATAAAGATAATGAATTTCTAAAATATAGAATTAGTAGGTTATGCATTTAACAAATATAAAATGATTCATAAAGTAATTAGCAAATTTATACATTGTTTTTCCCCAAATATATACCTATAATGCATATCCCAGAAAACCTTAGTCTTAGAAACTAACTACTTTTCTAAGAATGAATAGGCTAAACACTTAACATTTACATCTTAAGGAAAGCCTTTATAAAATGAAAACAGCACCATTAAAATCTACAGAGTTCTAAGCTGAAAATCAGGATAGATCAAAATTAAAACAACAACAAAAATAAAACATAAAGCAAAAAAAAATATGGTGATAAATGTATAAAGTAAATAATCAAGTTATAAAAGTATTCTAAGATTTATTAGGGAGGTCTTATAATTATATTATCTAACATTCCATAAAAATCTTTACATTAGGATAATGAAATCATCTGGGGAATTTGCTGTTCCAAGAAATTACTACATAACCAGAAATGTGTGAGTAATGTCCTTTTATATTTCTTTCTCTTTAAAGGTGCTGATGCACGTTAACTGCATGACTGAAAGAGGGGAATTCTGCACCACAATGTCTATGGAAAGTGGTAAGTCCTCTGGCGTATTTAACAACATGCTTTGTTTTGAAGATAATGAGGACATTACAAGCTGTTTGTGTCTTTTATCTAGAAATTTCTACCAGAGGCTCTTTTCAAACACCGTGGTTTTCAGTGCCTGATTCCTGTAGAATCCAAGTCTGGTTTTGCTGCAGCATCAGCTGGTACTCATGCTTGTTGAGGCCTGTGTGCCATTCGTGGGAACATACTTATCTTTGTGAGAAATTCACTCACTTTAGGTGCTCTTCCAGGGGGCAAAACTTTAATCAGCTTTTCAACCTAAGATTCTTCTGTTTGAAATTCTGAGCGCAGCTACGTATATTAACTTGCCTTGCCCCAACCTGAACAGGACTGAAACGAAAGTAGTAACTGGCATACTGTAATGATATGAAAGACCATATTAAATAAATACCATGAGATAGTATTGAGCCCTTTGAATTTTTCAGGAGGACAGTAATGTTCTATCAAGAAAATTATAGTTGAGTATTTTGATTGAGGTGACAAAGCTTAGTCTTAAATAATGAACCATAATGGGCAACTGGCTTGAACAAGGAATTCCTTTTTCTTAAACATGTCATTGCTCTGCAATTAGAACAAGATGATATATCATGGGGAAAACATTTCAGTGACACTGCCTTACCTACTGTAAATTTGTCCAGCAGACTTTATGACTTGATAAGCACAGATAAGAGCTAAGAGAACTCTTCGAGGAACTACTAAAGAACACAGAAGAAAATTACCTGAATTCTGAGCATAAAGTCTTGAGAATAATCAAAATAATCATATGGTTACAAAAATAGAAGTGATTTGGTATAGAAAATAGAACCACATAGAATATGGTTAACTACATGTTAAATAGGGTTTTTAAAGGAGATAGAAAACATAAATGAGAAAGTATTTTTTCTTTCTATGTATGTGTGCGTACATAAAATGAAAGCATATAAGAATTAACTGAACATCTAGGAGGCTGAAATCATTATAACATGGGATTAGAGCTATGGGATCATTTTTGCCAATATCATGTGAAATTTCTTAGTGTTAGAAATCTTTATACAAATAAAAAAGAAGAGCAAATAGTATAATGAACTTCCTTGTACCCATCATCTAGCTTCAAAAGTTATCAACCTTGGCCAACCTTGTTTCATCCATATACCTTCCCATATAGCCCCACCTATATATATAATATGACATTTTTTTGCAGGATGATAAAACTCCAAAGACTATAATTGTGCTTTCTTCAAGTACATAGGACAAGTTAAATGTAAAAAAAAAATCCAACAACACACACACACACACACACACACGCACTCTACACACATGCACCCCTTATAATGCACTCAATAATATAAGAAAATAATTTGATATTGTGAAAACATCAAATTATGAAATATGCCTTTTTAATGACTTCTAGATAATTAATAATAAATACATAATTATGCTCTTAAAATGACTTAATGTTGTATCTTCTGCTTTTTGAAGTTTGTGAACATTCTACTCGAATTTGAAGCCTGAAATTTAGATGGCCCTTACTCTTTCAGGCTTTCTGAGGAATTCTTCATGGGATGATTCTGTGTATTTTAAGTCAAAAGATAAGAAATGACCTTATTCGAATCATAACATTAACCCCCAAATTGCACAAAAGATTTCTAATAATCCTAGTATTTCATACATCAGACAAAAGATCAAGGGGAAATTCTAAATGTCAGGAAGATAGCTAATACAAAAACACTGATGACTGATTGGTTAAATAAAATTATAAATACACTATGCTACTTCAACGTCATTATTCCTTGTGATCTACACATCTAATGAAACGTATATTTGCTGAACATGGTAGGTGGGTCAGCAAAATAAAAAAGAAACAAAACAAACTACATATGTGAAGTCATTAGCCAGTCACTTTGGCTTAGTTTACTATCATGAGAATTGTTTCTGGCCAGGAAAAAAAAAAAACCAGAGCCCATTGTTTACTCAAGATATTACTTGGTTCTCTGTGAGAAGCTCCAGAAGTTTTTCCAGAAACCATTTTTGGTCTAATTTCCCTTGAGGTTTTTATACTAGCCAAGGATATGAAAGAAAGAGAGAAAATATTGGCCTAAACTCTACAGTGGTATCTAACTTGGTTTTCTTATGTTGCTAAGTTGATTAAAATGTATTTCCAGAACCAAAAACCCTCACTGTGATAGATTTTTTTTTTAGTAACGTAAATGAAAGACACATTTATGTATTCTTACAAGTGACAGGTAAATCCTGCAGTATTATACTTACTGCTGTATTAGAAAACATTATAACCACCTTGCTATTTTATAAGGAACCTTACAAAATACAGTAATACCTTATTTCATAATTAATACCAAAAATTACAATTGTAATGGCTTTAGTGCCTTAAAGCTATAAAATTAATATTGAGAGTGGTTTCAAACCCAAAATATTATTTATTTCCTGTGGTAATCATAAGACTAAAAGAGGTATCGGAAGGAAAAACTGCCTCCAACGAAGGTTAGCCATGGAGAAGATACATTTGGATTAGGCTTCAGGTACAGATTGTCAATTTGCTTTATCCTTTCAAAATTAGAAGAAAAACATCTCTGAAATCCCTGGGAAAGTGTACCCTTTACTAGAGATGGCATCATCTGTAATCTTGTGCTTTTGGAGACCAAAATTTTTTAGTTTAATCTCAACAGAATGCTAGGGAGTAATTAGTGCAACAGAAGAAAGGAGAAAATAGGGGGGAGATGAGGGTGCAATAACAGGAAGAGAAATAAATGGATGAATATAAAGAAGGATATAGTGAAAGGAGCTGGTAGAGGAAATTTCGGGCTTTGGCTCTAACTACCCATGTGACTTTGGATATGTCATTTATTTTATCAGCACCAGTGTCTTTGTTTCCAAAAACAGAATCAAATACTTTTCTTCTAATAGTGTTGTCATCAAATGAGACCATTTGGTAAAGTACCTGTATACAGTGGATGCCAAATAAATAGTAATTATGATTATTATATACATTTTCCAATCATCAAACAATTTTTTGAAAGTTTCAGAAAATAACTTTAAAATTAACTAATGAGCCAAAGATAAATTAGTCTCATTAATTTATAAATATAATTCATTATTACTTTTTTGTGTTTATGACACAGAGAAAAGAAACTTCAAGATTTTGAACATTTAATTGTACATACAGTTTCATGTTACAATTATATTGTGACACTTCAAAATTTTTGGTATCAGATTGTTTAGGTATTTACTCTTCACTTTATCAGAATTCATATGTCCTCCTAGGACAGAATTCCTTAAGTAAAGGATTTTCTTCCACGAACACGAATTCTTAAGCTATTGGTGTATTACTAGGGAGTGACATAAAATATATCCTTTCTCATAAGTTGATGCTAATCTCCAAATATCACAATCCATATATATAGTTTTCTAACCATTAACTATTTTAACCTTACACAATCCTGAAATAAAGATGAGAGAAATGTTCTCTTCCCCATATAGCCCACGTTCGGATAACACAATTGGAGTGCTCAGTTGCTATGGTGAGCATCATTCTAGAAGTACTTTTATAGGAAGTTTGATATGATATCACATAGCGTCTCATCAGATTTATGAAAATTTCTCAAAATGAGAAAGTACATTGCTGATCAGGAAATAAGACAAATGTCTATAGTGAACTTAAATATTTGGCTTTTTGCACAGCGACTATCTGGATTTACTGCAGCTTCAAGTTCTTTACAGGGTGGGAAGAGTGGTTGAAAGAATGGTTCTACTGTTTGTTTTATATCCTTGGGTATTTTGTTTTCTTATTTTGTTACAGTGCTTCGGATGTTTATTTCAGCAAACATCACAGGCAATGGAAAGGAACATTCGTTCGAGCCAGCTTTAATTTAATAGTTTTGCTCTCTCTGAGGCTGAAACCACTCTGATGGGTTCCCTGGCAATGATCTGGTTTGCTGTTCAAGTCTTCAGCCCCACAGGGCTGTCTACTGACAGTAGCTGCGTGGCTCATTTTGGTTGCTTTGGCCTGGCAGCATTGCCAAATGGAGGGAAGGAAGAAAGCTTACCTAGTCTCAAGTTTCCTGCTTAGCCTGCTGTATTAGTTTGTTCTCATACTGCTATAAAGAAATTCTTGAGACTGGGTAATTTATAAAGGAAAGAGGTTTAATTGACTCACCATTCCACATGGCTGAGGAGGCCTCAGGGAACTTAACAATCATGGCGGAAGGTGAAGCAGGCATGTCTTCCATGGCAGCAGGCAAGGAAAAGAGAAGTGTGAGAGTACAGGGAAAACATTTATCCAAGCCAAATGTGGGGTTGGAGCCCTCACACAGAGTCCTCACTGGGATATTGCCTAGTGAAGCAGTGAGAAGAGGGTCACAGCCCTCCAAAACCCAAAATGGTAGATCCACCAACAGCTTGCACTGTGCACCTAGAAAAGACATAGGCACTCAATGCCAGCCCATGAAGGAGCTACTTAAGGTCATGGGAGCCCACCCCTTGTATCAGCATGCCCAGATGCTAGACATGGAAGTGAAGAAGATAATTTTTGAAACTTAAGATTTGATAATTGGCCCCCTGGATTTTGGACTTGCATGGGGCCTATCCCCTTTGTTTTAGCCAATTTCTCCTATTTGGAAAAGGTGTATTTACCCAATGTCTGTACCCCCATTGTATCTTGGAAAGAACTAACTTGTTTATTATTTTACAGGCTCACAGGCAGAAGGGACTTGCCTTGTCTCAGATGAGACTTTGGACTATGGATTTTTGGATTAATGTTGGAATGAGTTAAGATATTGGGGGACTGTTGGGAAGGCATGATTGTGTTTTGAAATGTGAGGACATGAGAGACCAGGGGAGGGAGGGGCCAGGGGCAGAATGATATGGTTTGGCTCTGTGTCCCACCCAAATCTCATCTTGAATTGTAATCCCCACCTGTTGAGGGAGGGACCTGTAATCCCCACTGTGGAGGGAGGGAGGTGATTATATCATGGGGGCAGTGTCCCCCATGCTGTTCTTGTAATAGTGAATGAGTTATCAGGAGATTTGATTTTTTTTTTAATTGGAGTCTTGCTCTGTCACCCAGGCTGGAGTGCAATGGCATGATCTCAGCTCACTGCAACCTCCGCCTCCCGGGTTCAAGCGATTCTCCTGCCTCAGCCTCCTGAGTAGCTGGGACTTCAGGCACACACAACCACACCTGGCCAATTTTTGTATTTTCAGTAGAGACGGGGTTTCACCACGTTAACCAGGCTAGTCTCGATCTCCTGACCTCATGATCCACCCACCTCAGCCTCCCAAAGTGCTGGGATTACAGGCATGAGTCACCATGCCCAACCCAGTCTCAGGTATTTCTTTATAATAATGTGAGAACAGACTAATACACCACCATTTGTCGCAATGTCTATTTAGAACAAAATATGCACTCAAGATATGAAAAGTATGTGTGAGACGGGAGCAGGGTGTGAGTATGTGTGTGTGTTGGGGGGGAAAGCTTAGGGTGTAGTCACTAAATTACCTCCTAAAAGCCAATGCTTTTTCATCTCAAGCTGGAAGATACACCATGATATGTTTTTAGGAAATTCATCGTGAGGCATATTTTGCTTTGGAGAACATAAAAGAACTCTCCTGGGAATAGCAAAACAGATTATCTGAAGATTTCTAAAGGTTATAGAGTAAAATCTGGGAAAGTGTCCTAATTGTTGCCCTAATGACTCACCATATTCAGCCTCTCCCTTCCTCCCTTCCTTAATCATGCTGCTAATGCTTATTTTATGTAAAAACCTCAACTGGAACTAACTAGGGCATCTTTAGGGTAATGTTAATTTCTAGGCAATAGTAATTTTCAATTAAAATTGCACAGTGTACCAGTGAATTGAAAGTCAGATAGAAGGATGCTATATTATGGACTTTTTGGTTTCTCTAATTAGCCCTATATCCCGCACATTTCTCAAAATTGGCAACAAGTATTTGGTTGTTTTCAGTTTTACGCCACAGTGCTTATCTGGTCTCCATTCCTCTCTGTGGAGAGGAAACCAAATTCTCCCATACATTTAGGCTCAGCTCTCCTCAGGCTGTAGTAAGGCCTGCATAGCTCAAGATAAGAGAAGAAAACACTTCAAACAGCTAGGAATTAATCAGCCAACTTGGCTTCAAGCTCGGTGTTACAACGGAGCAATTCACTTTCAGAAGCTCACTTACATTAACTGAAATTAAATGAGACAGGCTTGTTTAATTCTTGTATGTAAAAGGCTCGTGAAGCACAGTTTAAACCAGTTACTTTGTGATGTCATGGAGCAGAGGGCTAATTGAGCTCATTGGAAAGGGAAGAGCCCATGGGTTTGTATCAAAGAGCCGTTGGGCTGGCTTTTGAAACAATTTCCTTATGTCTTATTCATACCTATACAGCATTACATTTTGTATTGTTCATTATCATTTAACCAGAATGTTCATCCCCTCCTGTTATGTCAGTATTATTTGTAATAGGAGAAGCTCCTTAGGGAATACATATGATAGTTTAATTGTTCTGTGAACCAATGTCTCTTAAGGCCTTTCTCATTGTATCTCAGAACATTTCTACATGCAAGCAATAGGATTAGTTATCACTAGTTTAAAGTATTCTAGAAAACAGATTTTTGTTATACAGATGGATTTTAATAAAGGGCTCAAATACATAATAAACACAATCAGCCAACATATATCTCTGGCTGTTTCAAGTTTTCCAATCAGATATTTTATTTCACTAATAACAATATTTTGTTTATTTAGGTGTTTTATTTATATATTTATATTAGGATTAATTTTTTAATAACTTTTATTGAAAAACACATTAAATCTCAAGGATATATTTATGCAAAATTGACTAATTCTCTCCCAACGTTTGAAAACTATGTACTGAACCAGTTTAGTAACTAAGGTTATCTATTTCCTAATTCAATGATTAGCCAATCAGAGCAATCAATGTATGCTAATGATAGGGCTAAGTGAAAAATCTCAAAAGAATTTAAACCTATGACTCTAAACTCAGAATCATCTGTTATAATGATTAAACCACTTGCTCTCTATCAGATACTAGCCCATTAATTTAGTCAAAGATATCGAAAGCTTTTTGTTCTACAGGCTGTTAGTAAAGCAAATAAAACACTTATCTGTGTTATTGACAAGTTCTTAATAGATTCGTTCATTAGACACCATAACCATTCACTAAGTTTTAGCCATGCAGAGACAAAAATTTAGGAGCATTTGAATGATTTGGGTGTTAATTAAAATTTGGTTCCTCATGAAGGTTAAAGTTGTTCAATACATTCAAAATATGTTTTGTGGCTGTCTAGCCCAATAATAACACTTTAATTGTGACTTCTTCAGTCATTTTTATAAAAATAAAATAGGATTTGATGAAAAGCAAATTGAAAATTCATAACTCTTCACAAGGTGGTAGATTTGTTTTCTTAAATATTGATTTATGTGGAGAAATATTTCTATATATGATCAATACATAAGGATTTAAGTACAAAAAAGAACTGTTATTCTGTAACTCATAATATTCTACATTAATTGAGAGGGAATTGACAGATGATGTTTACCATCCCACATGTACACATGTGGGATATTTTGTCATGATAATGACATGAAATGGCTGAGTACTACTGTTTCTAATATAAAAATGTAGATATAGTCCAAGAATTTATCAACAAAAGAAAGAATAATAGTCATGTATTCATACAGTGGAATATTATATGACAGCAAAAAAAGAATAAACCAAACAATCACATATATTGAAAGACTATCAAAAGTTTATTTTGAAAGATCAAAGCAAGCTCTACTTGATAGTAGTATAATCCCTTATCTGTAAATGTCAAAATCAGCCAAAATTCAGGAATATAAATAAATAAATATATAATATATATAATATATAATATATATTTGAGACACAGTCTCGCTCTGTCACCCAGGCTGGAGTGCAGTGGCGCAATCTCGGCTCACTGCAAGCTCCGCCTCCCGGGTTCACGCCATTCTCCTGCCTCAGCCTCCCTAGTAGCTGGGACTACAGGTGCCCGCCATCACGCCTGGCTAATTTTTTGTGTCTTTAGTAGAGATGGGGTTTCACCATGTTAGCCAGGATTGTCTCGCTCTCCTGACCTCGTAATCCGCCAACCTTGGCCTCCCAAAGTGCTGGGATTACTGGTGTAAGGGAATATATTTTTATAGAGATTCATACAAATAGGTTGAACTAAGTAGAAAAGCAAAATAATAGAAAATATATCTAAAGCACTATGTGCCAGACACTTTCAATAAAATACAATATATATTCTTAACTAATATTATGATTCCCATTCAAATATAGGAAATGACATAGAGAGAGGTTAAGCAACGGCCTCTAAGTCACACAGTTATAAAGTAGGAGATCCAGGACTTAAATCTAGCAGCCTAGCTCACAAGTTTTTGAGCCTAGCTCAATGAGCCTGGCTCAATGAGTTTGTGCTCTTTCACTGTCCTCTATAGCCTAGAGGGGATAATCAACAAAATTCACCATAGTGTTTACTTCTTGGAAGAGTTGGGGAAGCAGTGGGATAAAGCGTTTGGGAAGAGACTTAGAGAAAGCTTCAAAGTAAAGATATTTTTTCTTTTAGACAGTATTTATATATATATATATATATATGTTCATTTTATTATTTCTCTTTAAAACACACATATGCTACATACAGGGTTTATCAAATTTTTATGTTTTTATTTAGATTTATATATTGCACAATTACAGGAGAATATCTGAGAATCTTGCTACTCTCAGCAGAATTAATCAAATCACTATGGTAACAGAAGTCTACTTTTCTTTAATGAAGTAAAAAAAGTGTTTAAAAATTAACACATTTGGTAATGAATTTTCCTCTTACTTTGGTTTATAGTCCATTTTTTCACCCTGAGAGTGGGTAGAATGAAAAGTGCTGATAAGTGTTTGAATGTATACCAACACTGAAGAGAAGAAGTAAAAGGACATACAATGACCTGGTGCTTTGACTTTGAAAGCTGAGATAGTACTTCACATATTTTTTTCTTTTATTTCAAGATATTAAAATCTGCAAGGTAGTAGTAAAAAGCTATTAGTAACAAACGTTAATTGAGCACTTTATATGTCAAAGGCTTTGTGCTAGGTATTAGCATATATAATATTTTATTTCATGTTTACATCAAACTGAGAGAGGTGTTTTATTATGATACCCATTTTCAAATGAGAACAGAAGGCTAAGATAGGTTACATAACACTAATTTTCACCCAACTAGCAAGTTGCGGAGCTACAGTTAGGGTGCAATTCTTTATGATTCCAAAGGTAGTGCTCTTAATCATTAATTCTATTTGAATTTTTGGTTTATTTGTTAGTCTTTTTCATGTGAATTTTTGAATATATAACAGAGTTGAAAGAATTTTACAATGAACACCTGTTGCATTAGTCTGCTTGGGTTGCCATAACAAAATAATACAGACTGAGTGGATTAAACAACAAAAATTTATTTTCACAATTCTGGGGGCTGATAAAAATGTTTTATTAGATATTTATGCTACTCCATTCCTTTATTTATCCATCCAACTATCTTACATTTGATGCATTTAAAGGAGGGCCATGAACATTCCCATAGAAAGTTCCCATTATAGAGAGCCATAAACTTTCCCATAATACCTTACCATATGCAATATTAATTGGAGTTCAAAATTTGATGCCTTTTATGTAAAATTTACATATAACAAAATGCACAAATCTTAAGTGTGCAATTCAGTGAATTTTGGCAAGTGCCTATTCATTTGTAAACCGAACCTCAATCAAGATATAGAACACCATTATCCCAGAAATTTCTCTCATCCTCTTTTCAAATTAACTCCTAATTCTGCCTTCTGGCAACCATTGTTCTAGTGCTTTTCTGCCATCAATTAGAGTCACCTGATCTAGAACTTCACATAAGTGAACAATATAAAATGTACTCTTTTTTTGTAAAGCTCATTTGACTGAGCATAATGTTTTTGAGATTTACCCATGTTGTTGGATTTGTCAGTAGCTTGACTCTTTAAATGTGGAATGGTATCCCATTGTATGAATATATTATAGATTATTTACTAGTTGTCCTATTGGCAGGAAGCTGGGTCATTTCTAGTTTGTGAGTATTATGAACAAAGCTGTTTTAAAGTTACAAAAGTTTTCTGTGGGCATGTATTTTCTTTTCTTTTAGGTAACAATGTAACGTCAGATTGCTGGGTCTTAAGTATATGTTTAGTTTTGAAAGAAAACACCAGATTTTTTTCAAAGTGCATATACACTTTTGTACTCCCAGCAAACACTGTACGGTACCACCTCCACATCCTCACATCTAGTTGTTGTTATCAGTCTTTAAAAATTTTAGCCGTTCTGATGAATGCGTAATAATGTCTCATTGTGGGTTTAATTTGAATTTCTCTGATGATAATTATGTTGAGCTCTTTCTTATATGCTTATAGGCCATTTGTGTAAGGCATAACTTGTTTTATTGTGCTACACAGATAGTGTGTTTTACAAATTGAAGGTTCGTGGCAACCCTGCGTTGAGCAAGTCTATCAGCATTATTTTATTTTAACAGCATGTGCCCTCTTTGTGTCTCTTCGTTAGTTTTTGGTATTTCTTACAATATTCCAAACTTTCCCACTATGTTATGTATGTTCTGATGATATGTGATCAGTGACTTTGATGTTACTATTGTAATTAATTGTTTTGGGGCACCACAAACTGTGCCCATATGAGATGGCAAACAATCCGTAAGTTCTAACTGCACCACCAAATGGCCATTCCCCTATCTCTCTTCTCCCTCTCTCTTTGGGCCTCTCTATTACCTAAGACAAAACAATACTCATATTAGAATAGTTGATAACCCTACAATGCCTCTAAGTGTTTGAGTGAAAAAAAAGTGTGGTACATTTTGTATTTGAAATCAAAAGCTAGCAATGATGAAGCTTACTGAGAAAAACATGTCAAAAGCCAGGATAGACTGACAGCTAAGCCTCTTGGGCCAGTTAATCAAGTTGGGAAAGGAAAAGTTCTTGAAGGAATTTAGAAGTACCACTCCAGTGAACATATGAATGATAAGAAAGCGAAACAGCCTTGTTCAAGATATGGAGAAAGTTTTAGTGGTCTGGATAGATCAAATTAACCACAACATTCCCTTAAACCAAAGTCTAATTCAGAGCAAAGCCCTAACTATCTTTAAGTCTATGATGGCTGAGAAACATGAAAAAGCTGTAGAAGAAAAATTAGAAGCTAGCAGAGGTTGGGTCATCAGGTTTAAGGAAAGAAGCCATTTCCATAACATAAAAGTGCAAGGTGAAGCAGCAATTGCTGATGTAGAAGCTGCAGCAAGTTATCCAGAAGATCTAGCTAAGATTATTGTTGAGGGTAACTACACCACACAACAGATTTTAAACGTAGCTGAAATAGCTTTCTATTAGAAGAAGTTGCTGTTTAAGACTTTTATAGCTGAAGTGAAGTCAATGCCTGCCTTCAAAGATTCAAAGGACAAGCTGACTCTCTTGTTACGGGCTAAAGCAGCTGGTGACTTTAAGTTGAAGCCAGTGCTCACCTATCATTCTGAAAATCTTAGGTACCTTAGGAATTATGCTAAATCTACTCCTCCCTGTGCTCTAGAAATAGAACAACAAAACGATAATGATCTAACTTTTGTTTACAACTTGGTTTACTGAAAAATGTAAGCCTCCTGTTGAGAAATGCTGTTCAGAAAAAAAAAAAAGATTTATTTCAAAATATTACCGCTCATTGACAATGCGCCTAGTCATCCAAGAATTCTGATGGAGATGTACAAGAAGAATAATGTTTTCATGCCTGCTAACACAGTATCAACTCTGCAGCTCATGAGTCAAAGGGTAATTGCAACTTTTAAGTCTTATTGTCAAAAAAACATATTTCATAAAAGTTTAGCTGACATAGATAATGAATTTTCTGAGATTTGGGCAAAATACATTTTAAACCTTCTGAAAAGGATTCACCATTCTAGATGCCACTGAGAACATTTGTGATTCATGAGAGGGGGTGAAAATATCGACATTAACAGGAATTTGGGAGAAGTGGATTCCAACCCTCATGGAAGACTTTAAGGTGTTCAAGACTTCAGTGGAGGAAGTAACTGCAGATGTGGTGAAAATGGAAACGGAACTAGAATTAGAGGTGGAGACTGAACCTGGGCCTGAATTACTGCAATCTCATGGTAAAACTTCAATGTATGAGGAGTTGTTTCTATGGATGAGCAAAAAAAGTGGTTTCTTGAAACGGAAACTACTCCTGGTGAAGATGCTGTGAATATTGTTGAAATGACCACAAAAAATTTAGAATATTACATAAACCTAATGAATAAAGCAGAGGCAAGATTTGAAAAGATTGACTCCAGTTTGGAAAGAAGTTTCTACTATTGGTAAATGCTTTCAAATAACATAACATACCACAGAGACTATTTATGAAAAATAGTCAATTGATGTGGCAAGCTTCATTATTGTCTTATTTTAGGAAATTGTCACAGTCATCCTAACCTTCAGCAACTACCACCTTGATCAGTCAGCAACCATCAACATGAGGCTGATCCTTCACCAGCAAAAAGATTATGACTTGCTAAAGTCTCAGATGATTGTTAGCATTTTTTATGACAAATTATATTTTAATTAAGGTAATCCCATTGGATTTTTTAGACATAATGCTATTATACGCTTCGTTGACTATAGTGTAGTATAAACATAACTTTTACATGCCCTTGAAGTGAAAAAAGTTGTGTGACTTCCTTTACTGTGATATTTGCTTATTGCAGTGGTCTGGAACTGAATCACAATATCTTCAACGTATGCTTGTATCTCCTTTTATGAGATGTCTAGTAAGATGTTTGTCTCATATTTTTAATTGTAGAAACTTTTTATTTTGAGCTATAGGAATTCTTTTTATATCCTGGATATCAGTACTCTCTCACATATATGAGTTTCATATTTTTCTTTCTGTTCCTATATCTTGCTAATTCATTTTCTTCATGCTGTCATTTGATGAAAAGAAGTTGTACATTTTGTTGAAAATTTAATTTACTAATTATTTATGGATATTGTTTTCTGTGACTTCTCAAAATGATTTGCCTACACTAAGTCACTAAGATACTTTCTTATGTTTTTGTCTCATGGCCATCATCTAGCTAGATAGGTAGATAGATAGATATTATGAATTTGCTTGTGTAATAATGGGGACTAGAGAAGTCCCAACAACTGTATTCAGCAAGCTGAAGACAAGCGAGCTAATACTGTTGTTCCAGTCTGAGTCAGAAGGTCTGAGAACCAAGATAAATGATGATGTAAGTTCCAGTATAATTATGGTGGCCTGAGAATCAGGAGAGCCAGTGGTGTAAGTTCCAGTTCAAAGGCAGGAAAAGACTGATGTCCAAGCTCAGCGGTCAGGCAGGCACAGTTTCTTCTTACTCAACCTCTTTGTTCTATTCAGCTATTCAGTTGATTGGATGAGGCCCATTCACATCAAGGAGGGTAATCTGGTTTAATCAGTCTGTGATTCAAATGTTAATCTTATCCAGAAACGCCATCACAGACTTACCTAGAATAATGTTTGACCAAATATCTGGGCACCCCATGGCTCTGTCAAGTCAAAACATAAAATTAACCATCACACTATTTATTCCAGCTCCATTGTTGAAAATATATTTTTTCCTATTTGAAGATTTGGCATCTTTGTTGAAAATCAAATGACTATGTATGAGTGAATCTATATCTGGGCAAATGAAATAAGAATTATTTTTATGAGTACTTTGAACTTGTGGTGCTGACTCTTGCTACTGCTTTCAAGAAGTTCAATGAGGATAGCAGGTATGATGGCACAAACCATCAATTGTCAAGTCAGATTTACTAAATGCAAAGTATTACCCACGGACTAAATTTCACTAATAATTTAAAGCAGAGGTTGATGAAAAATTTTTTTACAAATGGCTAGATAGTAAACATTTTAGGCTTTACAGGATACAAATGGTCAATATCACATTTTTTTTTTCATTTTTAAATAACTCTTTAACTCATAGGCTATTATTTGTTTACCCTTTCTTAAAAATGAATGAGTAATCACAAGCCACAGGGAAAGAATGATGAAATATGAAAACACTTAATGCAGCTTTCCAGGTCTATATTTCTGCATTAAAATGCATTCCAGACCAGATTTAACATATGGCATATCTGAATTATACGTGCATGACATCAGTCACACAAAGTGTATTATTTTGGTCACAAAACATCTCCATTTTATACTCCAATAATTTTACCCTCTGATAATTATATAGTGGACACAGATAAATTCCAGCAGACAAAAATAGAATAATTCCAGCCTAGATAGAATAGATATATTCCTATAAAGGTGTTTTAGTACATACTACCAAGAGGTCCGGTTAGTGTGTTTGCGAGGAGATTTTCCCAGAACTTTCATTTTTTTTTTTTTTAAGTAACAGATCCCTTCCCCAGATGTGTCCAAGGTAGAGGCAATGGCTTATAGACCAGCTACTGTTCCTTCCTTTTAAGCAAGTTTAAAGGAAGTTTGCTGTTAATACCAAGAAGACCTGATGGTGGATTCACATAACAGAAAGACAGTGTAGATTAAAATGTGAAAGTGAGTAAAACAAAGCCTTTGAGGATGTATGAGTGGGTAGGATCCAGACACAGATCTTGGGTCATTGACTTAAGTTGGACAAGCTTTATTCTTCCTCAGAGACTAGCCAATGTAAGAGAGGGGGTTAAATATAATGAAATGCTTTGACATGGAAACATGTAAAAAAGGTATATTCATGCTGGATAACCTTAATTTGAAGAGTGACAATGGATATTGAAAATCTGTTACAAAAGAAAGGAGAGAAATAAACAGAGGACTTGAGAAAACTGGAAATTTCACTGTAAGAAACATGATAAACCATCAAGGAGCTAAAACACCTAGCAGTTGTGGTTATTTTATTGTATAATAAAATGATGAATAATAAACCTCTAATGTGACTGAATGTCATTAATGTGTGAGAGGTGATGAGCAGGGCAATTTATAAACATTATTATTATTATTACTAATTTTTTTTTTTTCTTTGAGACAGAGTCTCGCTCTGTCTCCAGCTGGAGTGCAGTTGTGCAATATCTGCTCACTGCAACCTCCGCCTCCCAGGTTCAAGTGATTCATCTGCCTCAGCCTCCCAAGTAGCTGGGACTACGGGCACACACCACCACACCCAGCTAGTTTTTATATTTTTAGTAGAGGTGGGGTTTCCCCATGTTGGCCAGGATGGTCTCAATCTCTTCACCCCGTGATCTGTCCTCCTTGGCCTCCCAAAGTGCTGGGATTACAGACATGAACCACTGCGCCCTGCCTAATAAACAGTATTGTAAAATAAAAAAAAAAATTGTATCATTCACAAGTATTAGATTCTAAAGTCAGCCAGCATGAACATTTCATATACTGAAATACATTCTTGGAGAATTTCCAAAGAAAGACATAGATTGAACACTTTTCATTAAATCTAATGCAGCCAGCTTTTCCTTCAGCACTGAAACAGATTGCTAGTTCTGTTTGAAATTGGCAGCTTACATTTTGGAACTATGTTGCATGAAAAATATTTATCTTTGACTAAGAGAAAGAGATTAACTGATTTACATCCCTCATCTCAGGCTTACTCCAGGGCAGAGACTTATTGGGTAGAAAAACTGATGGAATCATTCATTCCATTTACTTTATTCTCTCTTTCTCAAGCCAATGTATTTCACTTTAAGTAAGTTAAATAACCCATGTAGCATGACTCTGTGATTCCCACAAAAACTCTAAAACTAAAGATAATATTCTGATCTTACAGTGAGGAAATTGAGGCTCAAATGGCTAAGTAACTTGAGGAAGTCCAAATAGTTCATAAAATGGCATTGGTTTTCAGAGTATTCGATATATTAATGAAATGGCTTATTTTAGAATCCTGACTAGATGGGGAAAAAAAGAAGACAAAGTTTAACATGTATTAAGACAACTGGAAAAGATCAGATATTAAAGTTCAATATAATTTGGTACACTTAAATTGAACCTCTACTGTGTTTTACATATTAACTAGGCAGTGGGATGTTGAAAATGACTAAGGTGTGGTGGTTGAACTATTAGAATATCATATAAATGAATGTCAGCCTTACCAAAATGGGAGAATGAGCATTGTAGTACTTAAAAAATTAGGCTTATCTATTAAGACAATTAGAGTTGTAAATACTAATTAGATGCTGTGGAAATGAGTCATCATTTGGTGGCAAAGGAAAGAAAACTTTGAGGCAAGTTTATGTGAGCTAGAATTTTAGGGAAAGGCTTATGGGGAATATCATGGGCAACCAGAGGCATTTTATTAAGGGTTCATAAAGACAAGAACTTCATAAATGTGCTGTGATAATCTCACTATATTCTGTCTACATATTAGAGGTTTTTGTACATATGTTCTTCCCACCGGGAATCTCTATAGTGGATTATATTTAATACATTAAAATTCATTTCTTTGAGACAGAATGAGTTTTCTGGTTAATGAGATTTAAAAAGTTGATGAAATAAAAAGCTGTGAAACAACTTGTCACTCACAAGAAGGATTTGACAATATCTTCAAAATATTCTTTACTGACAGTTGTATGATAAAGGATGTGATGCTGAAATACTTTGCAACAGTTGCAAATTAACGAAAGAATCAGAGATTAGTGCTCTCTCTTCAGAATGTGTGGGATACCAAAGTACACCTTAGGTTTAGCAGTTTTCAAAAAAAGTCCTAAACTATTAAACTGAGAAAGATTAGAAAAACCTAAATGCATATGTTTAATACTGCTAATCTGTTGAATTGCTTTATTTTAAGCCAGGCTGTGCAAAATATTAGAAAATATATATTTCTAGTCACAGTTGAGTGTATTTTTAGGAGTGATTTTCAAAACTTGAAAGAGACTTTAAAGAAATATAAATATCATGCTCTGCTCTCTTCCGTTCCCCCTAAGGTCAGTTTCTTGGCAGTGTTCTTTCAGTCAAGACAGTTGTCTTTGCCAGTACCAGTCTACTGGGAGACAATTGTGTGTTGGGCAGCTGCCTTTTCAATAAGAGATGTGTCTCTTCCGAAAATATGTTTTTGGTACCTTCTCAGGTCTGAGAAACCAGTCCTCTAGTTGTTATTCCATATGCTGTGCCATATGCTAATTTGACATGAAACTGTATTGCAGGCAACTTTGTTTTTCCAGAGCATCACTCCAGGAGAGTAGACAGAACAGTGGGGCCACATCAATAAAGGGATCAGTTTCACACCCATGAAAGGGACCCACTGGCTATTCACATGATCCTCATAAGGAATAAGATGATTTGAGGATGATTAAACAGAGCTTTAAATGAGAGTCCTGAAACAAAGCAGTGCACTCTAGTGATATATGTAATACACACGGTCCCAGAAATTCTTTGTGAGAATTTCTGATTTCAAATGAAAGACTCCCCTGATAAAAGTGGGTGAGCTATTTATAGCATTTAGATGGATGTAATTCAATAGGGACTTTATCCAAAATCTGTTTGGAAAGCTTGGGACCTCATCGTGAAGCTACTCTTTTTAGAAAAGGATGAAAAGTAAATAAGAATGCATTTCAGAAATGTTCTGAGAAATTGTGCTGTTGTATCTTTGTAATAGTATTTGTGATGGTGGATCCACATTGGGGTAATAATGAATGATATTATTGAGAATCGAGAATAAGATTTGGTGGGGAGCTCACAGCCCAGGCTGTAAAAGGTGATTTGCTGCAGGGAAAGCAAAACAAGCCTTTATTTTTGTGTTAGTCCGTTTTCACGCTGCTGATAAAGACATACCTGAGACTGGACAATTTACAAAGGAAAGAGTTTTAATGGAGAAGTCACAGTTCCATGTGGCTGGCGAAGCCTCACAATCATGGGGGAAGGCAAGGAGGAGCAAGTCACATCTTACATGAATGGCAGCAGCCAAAACAAAAACAAAAACAATCAAACAAAAAGCTTGGCACGTCCCGTTTTAAAAACCATCAGATCTTATGAGAGCCATTCACTGTCAGGTGAACAGCGTGGAAGAGACCTGTCCCCATAATTCAGTCATCTCCTGCTGGGTCCCTCCCACAACACGTGGGAATTATGGGAGCTACAAGAGGAGATTTGGGTTGGGGACACAGAGTCCAACCATATCAATTATCTTACTCTCTGAGATGAGTTTGAGACAACTCAACTAATAATGATAGAAACAAGCAAACAAAAATCCATAGCTTTTCTCTTACTGTGGAAATTTGAGAGAGTGGGGCACAGTGGATTTCATTGTGGTCATTTCTTTTTTACCACATCTTAATTAATTAAGTCAATTTTTCTTTGTAATATCTGTCCTTGTGGACCTGGACTTAAACAGGTTATACCTGCTCACTGTGCCTACTGGGCATTTTGTTCCAGGAGTTTGGAATTAGGAGACATGTGTATAGTAGACATATGAGAAGTGCAATGTGTGTTTTTAATTAAAGCAGGCTGAAGGGGATAATGACAATGATGTGTGTGTGATTTTCTTAAGTTGGAAAAGGAGGGAAAGTTGGACGGTTGTTGTTGTTCCTGATTCTACTTCAGGGACTACTTAGTCTTATAGATACTGAAATTCAATTTTTCTGAGCTCTACCAGGGCTTATAGGCTCTGTGGATTCAATGCTGACTAAACTCTCAAGGGAGTAGTGATAAATGGCAATGTCAATTTATTTACAGTAGAATATCTATCTGCCCTTCAGTGGCTTCTCCAGTTTGTCCACTGGGGATATTAGCAATCCTCACTGGGAAAATGTTTATCAGAATTAAACTAGACTGTTCAATAATCTGGCCACCTAAGAAGGAGAAAGTCTCAGAGTTCTTTTAATCCATTCAAATAAGTCAATGTCAATATCATGAATACCATAGTTGAAACCTTTTAAATAAAATGCTGGGAGACAGAGGCATTGGGACTTGGAGGCTTTCTCATCTTTCTTACTGTCATCAGTTCTTCCATTTCCCATTTGATCCATTTGTTCATGAATCATTGAGTTGTCCTTTCACCCCTTCCCTCACCTGTCCTGTGGCTGGTAGCCCCTGACACTGTGACACTTATTCCCCTCACCCTGGATTCCTCAGAATCTGTATCTAAGTGTCAGACCAGCTAGACAGCTGTTGGCCTAAAGAATTCTGAGGTATGCATTACTAGTAACAACTCATACTATTTCAGATTGTCCTTAAAAAGTGATACTAAATTCAGAAGATAAAATTTAAGAGTCTGAATGTGCAAAACGCTTCTCATGTTTAGGTAATGTGAGAGTTCTCTGCAATAATACATAGTAAAATTACATAATGAGATTTTTTTATACCCTGAAAAAGAGTACATGGTTTGTGCTGTAGATGTATAATGGAGGAAAAGAGACTTGATTATTCTCCACTACTCTCTATGGGACAAACTATAATATGAGAATTTGCTCATTTCTCGAGGTCCTACTCATTCATTCACTCATCCACCTAAGAATTAAGTATGTATTCCAGTCAAATCATTAAGTAATGCAAAAATTAAAAAAATTCCATTTATGCAAAATATTACAAATATTACATGTTTTGGGGAAGGAATAAAAATGATGATATACCAGCAATAATAACGATGACAGCATCTACCATTCATTTATTGATACCCACTTTGTGTCATGTGTTGTCCTCAATTGTTTTATAAGTAATTGAAGCCTCATAACGCTATATAAGTAAATATTATTATCCCTATTTTACAATCAGAGAAGTTAAGTGAATTGACATAGGTCACACAGCTTTTAAGTGACAAAGCTTGAATGCTAGTTTCTGCCTGTCTGACTCTGAACTGTGTAGTCTTATTTATCACATTAGACTTTTAGAGAAAATTATGATATAGTACTACGTAAAAGATATGAAAAGGATGGTCTGCAAGGAAAGAAGGAGTTGGTGAGTGGTTCTGCTCAGGGAATTTTTCAAACAAGAGGGATGACAGGAATTGAAGCTTTGAAGTGCCTTGGGCCAGGAGGTAAGACAGAGCAAAGAACAGTGGGGAGAGAGTCTAGCCCTTTAACAGAATCTTAAATAGCCTGTTTTACTGAAGTTTAAGGGAAAGTAAAATATAAAAACTGGAGGGCTAAGTAAAAGCTAGATCTAGAATCCTTCCATGTTTTCATAAGAGGCTTGAACTTTGTCCTCTTAGCTGTCAGGAGCCACTGAAGAATTTTAAAGCAAGGGAGACGTACACTGTGTATCTGAATACGTGTCAAAATTTAAGATTTTCCTTTACTTTCCCAGTTGGAAAATATATACAGACAAAAAAATGTTTTTCCCATTTTTGGTAAAGAAGGTATAATTTTATTAATTTAGATATGTATTTATGCAGTATAACATTATAGAAAATAACAAATTGATTTAGAATTATTGCCTTATTTCACTTTCTCATTTCAAACTCTCTTTCAGTATCTGTGGCACTGATACCATCCAGTTCACTTAAGATGCTTTTTGAGTTGGCCAACATACTTTCACTGAGCATGTCACTTCATTTCTATAAAAGTTGTATGAGATATAACACGTTGTGAATTCATATTTAAAGCTGTCATTGGAAATTATGTTCCAAGCTGCAAGAACCCCATTTCTGAAAAGAATTTATCCTATAGGATGGGATTGCAAATAGGACAAAATCTAACCCCCAAACTTACACACCTATGTAGTATATTGTTTTTATAAGTGATCACATACTGACTTACGTACAATGACATTGAACATTGGTAACTGTTAGCCCAAAACTTCAGGAAATATTATTAAATATGCCTTTTATTGAGTGCCTATTGTGTGCTCCACATTTAAGAGATTCCTTTATACATACATTATCATTTTATCTTAGCCATTAAAGCCATTTTATCTTAGATCTAGTTGACATCCAACACGGATTCTGTCATACAGAATGCATTCAATGTATCTTTTATGATTGAGAAAATGATTATAACAGATATAGCTACTACTAAGAGCTATTTCTTAAAATATTTATTTTTCATTGCATATTTTCATCTTCACTTGTCGTTATGTAATATTGCAAGCTAGGAGAAAGCAGTGTATGAGAGCTTCCAACTTTTACAGTGTATGGGAGTTTCCAATTTTTACAGCAAAACTGGGTTTTGTCAAGTTTTAGAACTTGGACCATTGATGGATATGAAATGGCATTCCTTTACTGCTTTAATTCATAAGTCCTTGGTTTTAGTAATATCAGGAATGTTTCTCTGTGTTTACTGGGAATTTGGGCTTTCTTTTCTGTGACTTTCTTGTTTGTATTCAATACTCATTGATTTAGTTGTTTCTTCTTTTATCATTTATTTTTAGTAATATTTCATATATTTTGAATTCACATTCTTGCCTATTATGTGTTTGATATATCTCATTCTAGGTCATGGCTTCTCTTTGAACTTTGTTCACCATATTTTATATTGAAGAGGCATTTTACATTTAAATGCAGCCAAATACATAGAATGTTTTCTTTCATAGATCCATAAACATTTCAATTAACTCCCAATTACTAGAATCTTATTATATGGACACATATGGAGCGTAAAAAGAATGTAAAGGAATGTAAAAAGAACCATCAAGTGTATTATAGGTTGAATAATGAATAAATCAGATAAAGGTGAAGAAAAAGGCATAATATACTTTAATGGGGAAGTTATGGAATGATTTAAATTGGTTTAAGGAAAGGAGCTATATAAATGCAAGGTATTATTAATCAGAATGATTAAAAATGTCATATATTGTTCAGAGTGCACACCTTAGTTACCCTTTTTGTTTTATATATTGGATATTGGGGTGCTTGATATTTTAAATATCACATACTTTCCTTGATGTTCTTTGACATTTTCTACAAACCTAGAATCCATTTTTTTAAGCAGGACAAACTTAGATTGTGAAATGTCACTTGCTTTACTTTCTTGAAATGTATAACTTAAGATACATGAGGTATATCACTGTGGTGCATATGGATACAATGGATACTTACAAAATACCTGCTTCAAAAGCTTAATACTTTTTCTTGTACCTAAATAGTAGTGGTGGCATTTGTCAAAATTCACTTCTTATACAAAGGAAAATTAAAGAACCAAGAGTTAATACTCCCAAGAGGTAAATCTAATGAAGATAAGAGTGAATTGCTATTGCTATGTCAAGTAAGGATGGTTTTGCTCTTTCATCCCCCACTCTAATAACAGAGCATTTTAGCTAGGTTGTAGCATTCATAATGTCTTTACTTGTGTTATCTCTTCTGATTCTCAGAGCTTTGTGAGATTGACTGCAGAATAATTATTATCACTAATTTAGAGATGGAATAAGTGAGGCTTAAAAACTGTGCCTTGTGGTTCCGGCACAGGGGCTCACGCCTGTAATGCCAGCACTTTGGGAGGCCGAGGTGGGTGGATCACCTAAGGTTGGGAGTTCAAGACCAGCCTGACCAACGTGGAGAAACCCTGTCTCTGCTGAAAATATAAAATTAGCCGGGCGTGGTGGCGCATGCCTGTAATCCCAGCTACTCGGGTGGCTGAGGCAGGAAAATCACTTGAACCCAAGAGGCAGAGGTTGCAGTGAGCCGAGATTGCGCCATTGCACCCCAGCCTGGGCAACAAGAGAGAAACTCCATCTCAAAAAAAAAAAAAAGTTTGACTTGTTTGAAGTTAAGGCCCAGTTAGCGTTTAGCTGAGCACATCTGGAATTAAGACCCAGGTCTCTGAAATTCTGGTCTACGTTTGTTTCTTGTTTTGTTTTCTTTTTTGCCTTACTAGATCCCTAATTCACATGTTGGGTCCCAGATATTCTCAAATGGGCTCATTTCTATATTCAACACAAAATCCTGGTATAGATATTGACACTGATAGATGGATGCACAGTGACCTAAAAATATGTGTGCAAATTCTTTGACACTATATCCATCAAGACATGAAGTGTAATTCCTCTTTACTTGAATATAGACCAGCCTTAGTTACTCACTTCTGACTGACATAATTTGGCAAAAGTGATGCTGTATGACTTCCAGGCAAGCTCATGAAAGGTAACACAACTTCCCCTTTGCTCTCTCTTGGGACACTTGTTCTTGGCACCCATTCACCACTCTGTGAGGAAGCCACACAGCAACATGAAATGCCTGTGTGTAGGAGTTCTGGCCACAGCTCCAGCAAAGGTCTGACCTAGCAGGCAGCATCAAATGCCAGGCAGGTTTGTATGGAAATCTTACAATGATTTAAGCTTCCCAGGCTTCAGACCACTTAGCTGATGCTGAATGGAACACAGCCAAGCTGTCTTCGCCAAACCCAGAACACAAATTCATGAACAAAATAAAAATTGTCCTTGTTTTAAGTCATTAAGTCTTGGAGAGGTTTGGATACACTGAATACAGCACACAGATAGTTTTACTCATGTATATTTACTATATTTAACACTCCCTATGAGCTGACAATGGTGCTTTGTGCTGGGGATAAAAAGAGGAACCAAAGAAGGAAGGCTATATGTCATGATCTAGGAACTGTGATTTGTGGTACCTTACATATATTTTCCCAGAGTATTCTTAAAATAACCAGAAAAGAAGGCATAATTATTATTTTAATTTGTTAGAGGAGAAACTAGGTAGCCTCGAGGTTATGTGTTTTGTTTGGATTACATAATTGGTAAGCAGTAGAAGTAAGGTACAAATGTAGTTTTTAAGGCTCAATGTTGAGTTAGGACTCATGCTTATTCTTTCTCTCTGTCAAGGGGTGATTAGGTTGGGGTTGCTGAGTCTGAAGGTATTAAATTTGGGATCCACTTATAAATAACAATTAAGCAACAAATAAATGCTATCATAGAGATATATAAATGGTGCTTCAGGAGCATTGAAGTTGAAATAATTCTTTATTCTGACCAAACCTCCGGAAAGAATGAAGTCTTCTTTAGATTTTGCATAAGAGTTAGTAGTTACTTGGATCTTAAACAGAGGTTTGGAGAAGAAGGATTTAGAAGAACACTCAGATAATGGTGAAAAACATGGCAAAGTCACAGAGATGCAAAGGCCTGAGGATAAGTGGGGAAAGACCAGTTGGGCTGGTGTGAATATAGGGAACAAGAGAACTAGTGGTCAGAAGCAACATAGGAAGGAGGGAAAAGATCAGGAAAAGAGTGAAGAATACCGTGTGTCCCAAGCTAAAGAGCTTGGACTTTATTTTAGAACCAGCAAGAGGCCAGGAATATTTAAAACAAGGGAGTGCCAGACTGAATCATTAGCCTAAAAAGTCAGCTGGAGTTGTCATGAGGCGATACTATTTCAGGGAGTTAAACCCATAGGAAACCTGTTGTAATAATTGTGAGAAATGAAGAGGCACCTAAATAAAAGTAGTGGAAATGAAGATGAGAGAGTTAATTCAAGAGAGATTTAAAATAATGATTTTGAATTATTTGTGGTATGATTTGTATGGTCGGTAATTGACCCTGTAATGGATGCATGATAAGTCCCTAATTTCAGGCAGAGGGTAGAAGAGGATGTGTATGTGTTAGAGAGAGATTGAGTTTATGTTTTAAAATGTGGTATGAGAAAAAAAGTTTTAAGTACTCAATACAAAACTAAAAGTATAACTCAGAAGCTCAGCATAAAGATAAAATTTGAAAGGCAAATATTTGGGAGTCAGTGAAAAGAAGAGACAGATAAGAAAGGGAAATTAATGAGATTACCTGGTGACTACTAAGGGGAGAGGGCAGAGAATGCAAACTCAGGGCATAGGAGATCAGATAACTGTTTAGGGGGCTGACATTAGAAATCAACAGTAAAGGAAAATGAGAAATAGATGTTAGAAAGAATGAAGAGAAACAATACAACATGGTTTTCTGGAATCTAAGTAAAAGGAAGGAGCTGAAGGCATCATATGACAGAGGGCTTAGGTAGTGATATAGTTTGGTTGTGTGTCCCCACTCAAATCTCATGTTGAAATGTAATTCCCAATGTTGGAGGTGGGGCCTGGTGGGAGGTGATTGGGTCATGGGGGCAGGCTTTTTATGTAAGGTTTAGTACTATCCCCTTGGTGCTGTCCTTCTGATAGTGAGTGACTTCTCACGAGATCTGGTTATTTAACACATGTGCACCTCAGGTGCTCTCTCTTGCTCCTGCTTTCATCATGTGATGCGCCTGCTCCCCTTTCACCTTCTACCATGATTTTAAGGTTCCTGAGGGCTTCGCAGAAGCCAAGCAGATGTTGGCACCACACTTCCTATAAAGCCTGCAGAATTGTGAGCCACTTAAACCTGTTTTTTTAATAAATTACTCAGTCTCAGGTATTTATAGTAATGCAAGAATGGACTAACACAGGTAGTATGAATGCCATAAAATAGCCATTACCCTTGGCACTTAGGGTATAAGTATGGAAGTACAGTTGCAGAAGTGAAGTGGGGATTTGAAGAGACTGAACAAAGGTGGACTTGATACTGCAAAAGGGCAAAGGTAAAGAAAAAGTTTCAAGAGCAGAAAGTTATTTTTGTTAAGTTCATGCAATTCAGCACAACCAAAACATAACCTGTATCTCCTTTTTAACATTTTTGATATTATTTTGATATTATCTTTTGACCTTAATAGAACTAAGTAGAAAGCATGAGCAGATAGTATCAAAAACTTCAGTGATGTTCCCCTTCCTGTGTCCATGTGTTCTCATTGTTCAAAAAAAAAAAAAAAAAAAAAAACTTCAATGAAACTGAGTTTAAGTGAGAATGTAAAGAAATCCTGACAAGATATACAGAAAACTCAAGGAGTTTGCTGAGAAAAGAAAGAAAAATAAGGCAGCAGCTTCTTGGATATATGAGTTTGAGATTTGTTTAAAATTAAAATTTATTTATTTTAATACGGGTTATATCACATTATTTAATATCTGTCTATATACACATATGTATAATATATACATGTAAATATATATAATATACATATATATGTATAATATATACATGTAAATATATATAATGTACATATATATGTATAATATATACATGTAAATATATATAATATACATATATATGTATAATATATACATGTAAATATATATAATATACATATATATGTATAATATATACATGTAAATATATATAATATACATATATATGTATAATATATACATGTAAATATATATAATATACATATATATGTATAATATATACATGTAAATATATATAATATACATATATGTATACCATGTGTGTATACATATATGTATAATGTGTATATACCATATATGTTTTCGTATATATGTATATGCACATGTATGTATATGTATATATATTTTTTAAGGTTAGTGATGTTGAATGGAGATGATATGATAGAAGAGGAAAATTAATGTGAGAGGCCAGAATTGCTGGAGTGATAATCTTGAGTTGTTGGTAGGGAAAAGCCACTATGTATTAAGTGGAGATGTCGTAGCAGTAACCACAGTTCTTCCAGGTTATCAGGGTGGTGGGCGGGAGTACAGATGTGTATACAGCAGGGAAACTGGCAGATGGGGTGGCAGAAATAAGTGGGAGAAGTCTTCTAATTGCTCCCTTTTCTCAGTGAAATTGAAATCATTGTAATGACTAGGGTGGGAAGGAGGAAAATGGGTGTTAAAGATTTGAAGAGAGAAGGACAAAAACTGTGAGCTGGGAGAGCAAGAGCACAAAGATATGGCATGCAGATGAATTGTTGGGCCTCCTTGCCCAGCGAGGGGAGGGTTTCGATCACAACAAGAGCATGAAGAGATCTACCAGAGAATAGTTTTAGGATATGGGAGATTCCCTGATGATTGGGTGTAAATATCAGAGTACCTTGGACTAATTTTAAGAGTTTGATTAGAAGATGTTCAGATTCTTATGGAATGAGAGTCCTGGTGTGGCCGGGTATGGTGGCTCACGCCTGTAATCCCAGCACTTTGGGAGGCTAAGGCGGGCGGATCACAAGGTCAGGAGATTGAGACCATCCTGGCTAACACAGTGAAACCCCGTCTCTACTAAAAAATACAAAAATTAGCCAGGCGTGGTGGCGGGCGCCTGTAGTCCCAGCTACTCGGGAGGCTGAGGCAGGAGAACGGCGTGAACCCGGGAGGCGGAGCTTGCAGTGAGCCGAGATCGCACCACTGCACTCCAGCCTGGGCGACAGAGCAAGACTCCGTCTCAAAAAAAAAAGAGTCCTGGTGAAAAATCATAATCTATCAGTGTGAACTTTCTCATCATGTCTGAAGTAAATGGGAATGAAGAACAAAATTAGTTTCAGACTGACCATCTCCATGCAGACTGCTTGGTGAGGCTGTGAGTCTTCGGGTGAAAGAGAGGCAGGGGTCTTTGAGGAGTAATTAGAGACCTGGCTTTCTGCTTCCCTTTTACAGGAGTGAGAAGGAAAGATAAGAAAGCAGGACTTGATGGTGCCTAACTCATTTCCCTTTTGCAATCACTGTCCCTGTGTGTGTTCTTGAACCCAACAGATTTATACTGCAAACACTTGTGAACCTTTGCTTGAAAGGTTTCTTTGACCACTGGAAAGCATTTGATGCTGTGTGAACACATGCCAGAAGTTCTGGGAAATTATGTTCCTAGGAGCATCTTTCAGCCACTAACTGGTAGGATTTGATGCCTGAATCCCCAAACCGTTTGTCCCTGAGTCAACTCCAAGGATTACTCTATGCAGTCTCCCAAAGGTTCCCTGTGGGATCGAGCTACAGTTGCATAAAACGAGTACTTATAAGTAATTTATAAGTTGTGGAAACTGCTTATCAAACAGTGAATGACAATTTATAAAAATTATTTTCTTTTTAATCCAGCCCCACCCAGTTCACAATAGAATTATCGATACAGAATATTTTATATTCTCCTTTGATCCTGATACTGTCTCCAATTAAACTATAAAATACATCACAAATGAAAAACAGTAGTTATATATCCAGAAAAAATGAAAACAACAAAAAGCAATAACATTTACTATGTCACTTGCCCAGAAGTAATTAATATACTTAATTATCATAAGTTTAATATTGATTTAAACAAAAATTGAGACATCAATATATGGGAAAGATGACAAAAAGGTGAGCTTCTCAAGAAAGGAAGCTAAATTTCTGCAACCATAGTGAAAGACAATAGATGTTGCCTAAATCGATTAACTAAGACTTGTTATTTTTATTGTTAAAGTCATGAAGATAAACTAGAAAAAAGCAACCAGAAGAAGCTAAACTTATTACCTCTAGGGCACAAGGCTAGGAGGCGGCCTTTGATTTCCAGAAAACTATGTGTATGTACATTTATGAAAAAATTAAAATACATTTTAAGAATTCCTCTGCTATATGTATTTGTCCCACTGCTATGTGTATGTATACCACTTCCATGTGTATTTGTATGATGTTATTGTGTCCGGAATTGGTGGGTTCTTGGTCTCGCTGACTTCAAGAATGAAGCCGCGGACCCTTGTGCTGAGTGTTTCAGTTCTTAAAGATGGTGTGTCCGGAATTTGTTCCTTCAGATGTGTTGTTTCTTCCTTCTGGTGGGTTCGTGGTCTCGCTGACTTCAAAAGTGAACCGGCAGACCTTCGCGGTGAGTGTTACAGCTCTTAAAGGCGGCGCGCCTGAAGTTGTTCGTTCCTTCCAGTGGGTTTGTGATCTCGCTGGCCTCCGGAGTGAAGCTGGAGACCTTCATGGTGAATGTTACAGTTCATAAAGGCGGTGTGGACCCAGAGTGAGCAGCAGCCAAGATTTACCGGGAAGAGCGAAATAACAAAGCTACCACAGCATGGAAGGGGACCCAAGTGGGTTGCCAGCTGCTGGCTTGGGTGGCCTGCGTTTATTCCCTCATCTGGCCCCACCCACATCCTACTGATTGGTCCATTTTACAGAGAGCTGAGTGCCATTTTACAGAGCGCTGATTGGTGCGTTTACAAACCTTTAGATAGACAGAAAAGTTCTCCAGGTCCCCACGCGACCCAGAATCCCAGGCGGCTTCACCTCTCAATGGCATTTGCTGCAGGACTTTGTGGCACCTAGCTCGGGCACTCAGGCAGCCCAGAGGGAGCTCATCCCCCTATCACGCCCAGCAGGCGCCGGCAGGCCCCACCAAGTGCTGGGCTCGCCAAGCCTGCGCCCACCCGGAACCCGAGCGGCGCCCGGCGGGAGCCGGTGCCTCTCCCTCCACACCTCCCCACGAGCAGAGCTCTGGCCTCGGCCAGGCTCAGAGAGGGGCCCCCACAGCTCAGCGGTGGGCTGAAGGGCTCCTCCACAGACTGTGGCCAGAGCGGACTCCGAGGCCTAGGAGGCGCCGAGAGTGAGTGAGGGTGCTAGCATGTTGTCACCTGTCATTATTACGGAGGAAATAAAGTTCTTTCAAGAAAAAGACATGGCAGGAAAAGAAAATGGGAAAGGAGAAAGAAAAGGGAAGAAAGAGAAAAAGGAAGAGGAAGAGTTAGAAAAAGAGATAAAATGAGAATGCATTGGTCTCGAGCCTTTTCATGCATAAGTTTTTCAATTCTTGTCTTTTACAAATTTATTATTCAGTTCTATAATTGTTTAATGTCCTTATTTCTTAGGTACCCAACTAAATGATATGACTCCTTTAGTTAAATTTTTGTTTGCTCTGTAAAATATTATCAATAAACGCTTGGATTATTGACCTCTCTGACTATTACTCTTTCTCCTGTCTTCTCTTGCAAGGCAGTTCTACCATGAAAGACAAAACTATTCAATTTTCCTACATTGTGTTGGAACATATTCATCTTCCCTTTTTGGTTATCCTTGATATAGCTATTTCAAACTGCATTTTTAGTCCTGTAATCAATTAGGCCTAGCCTCTTCCCTCCCTCCCTCCCTCCCTCCCTTCCTTCCCTCCTCCCTCTCTCCCTCCCTCCCTCCTTTCTTCCTTCCTTCCTTCCTTCCTTCCCTCCTTCTTCCCTTTCCTTCTCTATTTTGAACTATGTAATATCTCCCAGGTATTAATGTCTTTTCTTCCTGTAAGACTTCTTCCCAGTTATGGTCAAATGATGACGTATATGGGAAAAATTTTATAGTAATCAAGAGAGATTACTGAAGTACTAATGCCCTCTTATGCTAGTAATGTGCTTAGCTTTAAAAAACTATGTTTTTAATACCTAAGAAATGCTTCAAACGTTGTCTACAAAGCACAATTATATTTCATCTAACCGATCTGTGAAGAGTCTTCAAGTCAACCAGAGAAAGGACAAGAAGGACAGGAGAGATTTTCTCTTTTTCCTTTCCTCTCTCTTTCCCTTCCTTTCCTCTCTCTTTCCCTTCCTTTCTTCCTTTTTATTTTTTTTTTAATGTTTCTTCTTTCAGGACTAATATAGATGTCACGATCTCTAAATGCACATTTAGAAAGCTAATATGAATTACAAATAAAATGGCCCAACTGTAATTAGTAAGTGAATGTCAATTCAGTGAAAGTAACCAGCTTTCCTATGTATATTTTAGCTTCTTATTTGTAAATAGGCATTATTAGAGGAGTAAAAAAGGTGCATTTTGAAAAATGAATGCTTTTTTCAACTTTATTTGCATATATGCCTTACTTTTCTTGCTTATTGCAGAAATTTTCTTTTTTTGAACCATTTTAACTATTTTTAAGTATACGATTCGGTGGAATTAAGTATATTCACATTATTGTGCAGCCGTCAACACTATGATTTTTCAAAACTTTTTCATCATTTCAAACAGAAATTCTGCATGCATTAAACCACTTATTTTTTTCTATAAAAGTGTCAAAAATTCTAAAATAAATTTGTGGAGTTCTGAGAGTTTTAAAACTATTTACATAAAAAGGAAATCACAAAAACAATAATTAAAGAATGTTTTTCTTTTGACAATTTTCAGAACTGAAAATGATACATTCTGTTAATATATTAAAGCTTTATCAAGATCTTACTTCTTTCGTGTCAATTACGTTATTAAGTATTTTTCTTAAAAGAAGAAAGTTGGTTCTACTTTTTAGCTCTCCTTTTTTTTATTCTTACCAGCAATTGCCATTGCAGTGGTAACACAGAAGTCCTAGGTGGCCTCAATCAGTGTAGTTTCAATGTCTGCCAAGTAGGTCTGTTTTTTCAACTGACCTTTCAACAATAGCCTTTAAAAGATAGATTGGAGCAAGTAGATAGTTTCATTCAAGAGGACATAGATGAGGAACTGCAAAAATGTTTAAATTATTTTCTAATTGGAAAGACAAGTCCTCTAGTCAAGATGGGATTTAGAAAGAAGTTTACTGTGGCAGGGCATGGTGGCTCATGCCTGTAATCCCAGCACTTTGGGAGGCTAAGGCAGGTGGATCACTTGAAGTCAGGAGTTTGAGACCAGCCTAGCCAACATGGTGAAACCCCATCTCTACTAAAAATACAAAAGTTTGCCCCACGTGGTGGTGTATAACTGTAATCCCAGCTACTTGGGAGGCTGAGGCAGGAGAATCACTTGAACCTGGAAGACAGAGGTTGTAGTAAGCTGAGATTGCACCACTGCACTCCAGCCTGGGTGACAGAGAAGACCCGATCTTAAAAAAAAAAAAAAAAAAAAAAAAGAAGGAAGTTTACTCTGTCCAGTCATGCTTGACATCTGTATGATGATGCCTGAATCAAATCCACTACTGCACAAGGACATTGGACATTGCATCCTTAAAAAATAATCTGTGAATAGCCACTTTCCCAAATGGAATAAATGTAGTACATATACCTGAGGCCAGATACATTTGACGTGGACTTTCAGAACCAAAGCTTCTTCTCTTTTGCATGAAAAGAGTTTATGTTTTCCTGAACCCTTTTTGGGCTTAAAATGTAAATTATAAGACTGCTGTGGCTACTCTGAACTTCATTAACTAAAGATGGTTTAATGTTAGTATACCATGGGATTGCCTATTCCAAGGGAGCGAATGACAAGCCAGATCACTTCCCCACTGAAAATGATTCATTTACATGAAGATTTTTTATGTCTGATCTTTTTTTTTTTTTTTTTTTTTGAGACGGAGTCTCGCTCTGTCGCCCAGGCCGGACTGCGGACTGCAGTGGCGCAATCTCGGCTCACTGCAAGCTCCGCTTCCCGGGTTCACGCCATTCTCCTGCCTCAGCCTCCCGAGTAGCTGGGACTACAGGCGCCCGCCACCGCGCCCGGCTAATTTTTTGTATTTTTAGTAGAGACGGGGTTTCACCTTGTTAGCCAGGATGGTCTCGATCTCCTGACCTCATGATCCACCCGCCTCGGCCTCCCAAAGTGCTGGGATTACAGGCGTGAGCCACCGCGCCCGGCCTATGTCTGATCTTTATTTCATTATTTTTCTAAGTGAAAATACAAAACTAATTTTCTGCTATTAAAAAATCACAAATTATAAAGATGATTTGATGAAAAATATTTTCAGATAAACTTGCATATGAGATTTAATTACTCATTAATGAAAACATTATAATATCTATGATACTATATTTATAATTATTTACATATAAAGTCTTTATAAATATATAATTAGTATGCATATTTATATAAAACAAAATATTATATGATATGTAAATGGGAAGATTTTATGATTCTGATAATTTTGTATATGAAATTCTAGGATGAATGGTTGTTGTAACTTGCATTTTTAAACCTCTAAATTTAGTCCTTTTTTAGAACCAGTATTGTAATGGATGTTCTAGGAACACTTGGGAATAAGAGTCAGAAAGCAACATCCAACCTATTGGTTGCTTAATATTTTACAGTACATGCTAAATATACTTTATGGATATTATATAATTTATAATGTAACCTTACCTACTTCAATAGAATTAGACATCTTTAATATGAATGTCATTAATTGAAAATAAAATACAGTTGAACTTAATTTAATTCTTTCAATTTTGCATTTTGGAAACCACAAAACAGAGCTTGATTTTCGGAGTTCAACACATTAGCATCTCTCACGGTCGAATGGGTACATTTTCAATAAGAAACCAATGAGTTATGAAGCCTTTTCAATGGTGACTTACAATAAGCAATAATTCATGAAATTTATGCTCTGTACAGTCTGTTTTCCTCCTGTAGAAATGTGGGTTGGTTGACATCTCTGATAACCTGTTTAATCTTTTGTAAATATTTGCAAGTCTGAATCATTGGTATGGATTTTGATGCTACTCAAGAAGAAAGAAAGACCTCCAAGAAGAGGAGAGAAACTTAAATGACAAGTAAAGAGGAAAGCTTGTAAAAAGTATACAAAGAAAATCAGTCATTCTGTCTTTATAATATAGCTAATGTTTTATAATTGAAATGTTATTTCTTGAATATAGGTAGCTAAGGTTTTGTTTTTTGTTTAGTTTTGTTTGTTTTACTTTAACAAGCCTTTTAGAGCCAAATGAGCTATTACACGCACACACACACACACACACACACACACACCCAGGCACGCACTAACTTCAGGATTTTTTTCAAATTATACAATCTGTAAAGTCATATGTTTCTTATTCTTACCCCTTCAATGAGCTTAGTAGCATATTTTGATGTAATACTTGAGAAAATTGATGTATCATTTGACAAAGGCTGAATTTAGTTTGTATAATGCGAATAGTTCTAAAAAACGGAGTTTTGTTTCTTGCTTTGTGAAACATGGTCGTCTCCACCCAATCACAATCGATCACTCCTTCCTGGTGCCAAAATACAGGTTAAGTACACTTACTATTTATTACATATAATAGTCTATAGTAAGATTAAATTTTCACATGCCTATGTTTCCTACAAATAATGCCTTAAGGGCACATATCATGTTTATTTCTTTATACATTATCTATTTTCTTCATCTGGATTATTGCCTGTGCTCCTAAAGGATTTCCTAGCACTTACCTTTGCCCCTCCTTTAGTGGGTTAAAAACAAATTAAGATCATGTTGCTCTTCTTGAACTCCTTTCAGTGGCTCCTCATTTCCTTCATACTAAAAGCCACAGTCATTATCTTAGCCTTAAAATACCCTTTTTAATTTTACACTTGTATTTCCGTGCTGTCTTCTTCTATATTCTCTTCCTTACTCACTTTGTTTCAGCCACACTTGCCTCCTGGCTGTTTCTTGAATATGACAAGCACACTCCCACCTCTCAGCCTTTGCATGGATTGTTCTTCATTCCAGAATGCTCTTTCCCCAGCCATTCCTGTGGTTGACTCCTTATTTTGGGACTTGGATCAGATGCTATATTTTCAGGAAAGCTTCTCCTGACAAGCTCATAGTATTGCAGTTCCAAACCTCCTTCTCTCTCCTCTTCTGCCATAGTGGTGCTGTGTTCCCATTTGCTTCCCTCTCTTTTTGCATAGTACTTTTCCTTTTTTAATTATTATAAAAATGAATGTTTTGTTTTGTGTTTTACTGTCTGTCTCTCCTACTAGGACTCAAGCTCTACCAGTGCAGGTATTTTTTAAATGCTTTTTGGTCTGTTTTGTTTCCTAACATATCACCAGCCCTGGTATATGTTAGATTGTTTTTCAGAAATATTTGTTTACTGTCTGACCTACAAAATCAACAGATAAATAAACAGAAGATGTTAAATACTACCCTTAACCGACAAAGGAACTAAAAGTACTGAGTCAAGAACTCCAAAAACAGCATATATACCTCATAAGTGTTTCAATAATAGTATGAAAGCCTAATCTTGCATGGTAATAATATTAGTGTATGTTGCATAACGTTTCTAATCTCTCATTTGTAATTTTTACTTCTAGAGGCAAAAAATATTTTGTCATATGTGTTGTTTCCTCCCAAGGACAATATAACCTCTTAGAAGAATACTCAGGCCCCCAATGTAACATTGTTTCTGCCACATCAGAAAATTGTGGGAAAATAAGTAACTACAGTTTCATCATTATGATAGCTAATGGCTTCAGGGATGACCCTAAAGCAGACAATATGGTCCAAACATCTTCTCCATCTGTGTCTCTGCTGTCAAGGGAAATCGGTATATACCATTTTTTATTTCTTTCTTGGTCCAAATGACAAGTAGCCCATGCAGTGTTCAGCCCTGAACTTCAATGACTGGTGAAAGATGATGGATCGCGAATTGGTAAGTGAATCTAACTTTGCTTCAGAGCCATGAAACTAACAGAGCTACTCTTTTCCTATAAATAGTGCTCTGTGTGTTTGTGTGTGTGCACACAGAAACACATGTGTGATTTCCTCTGGAAATCTGTCAGAATAATGAAATGTTGTTTTCATCATGATTCAGAAATGATTTAGAAAATAAGAAGATAGTACATAGAAGGCAACGAGGAATGAAAGGGATGTCATAAAGGTATTCTGTCATGAAAAGAGCTTAACAGTTTTTCATAGAGCAGACTATTGCCCTAAGAAAACTGTAAAGTCAACCCTTACACAATTTGTACTTCATCCTTTCCTTCAGTGTAAAATTTCGGAGGATTTTTATGTTCCAAGTATGCAGTTAGATATGTGGCCTGAACTATCTTTACATGAAATCACCATTATTTGTAGTATCATCAGCAACAGAAATAGCTATTTAATTCTTCAGTTGTGCATGGTGCTGAAAACTGCGGATCTGTTATGGCTCTGGCATCTGAAAAGTCCACAATAGAAAAATGAACAAAATTGTACCTGCACATAATAAACAAAATATTATGGCAAATTCTTGCTTACAGCTGGCTTGAAAGGCAGAGCTAAGGTTAATTTTTAAAGTATTTTTACTATGTGTAATAATATATTTGCATAAGTTTGGTCTTGGCTGGTGTCACAACAAAGCCAACGTTTCTAACAATGTTCAGCATCTCTAATAATATGCATTATTTTGCACTGTTCTGTTTCATACATGATATAATTTTGGTCTGACTTTCATGGATAAAAACAACCATGATAGAAAGAGAAAAATGGAGATAAAGGATTCTGTTCTGAGTAACACTATTTACATAACAATATCTTCCTTTCAATCTAGACAAAATATGGAGCAATAAACACTTTTAGAAAAAGTGAATAGTTTGAAGGAGCTTGAAGGTGCAGTACCAGGCAATTATATTCACACATAATAATACTTTGTTAAATGATTTGACATGGTTTTTCCACAAACGCATTGCTAGGTTAATAGCTATGTAGAGAAAGAGTACAGGTTTTATACAATTCATGGAGATGCCTCAGTTCCATAATATATGTCATTTTAGGAGTAAAGGATGATGGTAAATCATCTTAGACAGAACCCTCTGGAAAAATCTTCTCCAGAAGCTCCTATCCAGTGGGCCTTGGATGTCAGAGTGGCCTTGAGCTGTGGCAAGGAGTCTGAAAAGCTGTACTCAATCAACATTTTCTGTTAATTCAATAGGCATATGACCATTTTGACATGACACCATGACCTGTTTGAAAATTTCTCATTTAAGTGTGAGAAATACAAACATAAAGTGTTTAAAATCAGGTATTCGTGGTCATACCTCTAGTCACTGACAGGGTGCTTTTCAAATATCCACCAAATCCAATCGACTAAGATAAGCACATATGTTGTTGGGTTTCTTAGTGAATGGCAAAGAGGTTTTGAACATCAAGCGTGACCTATTAACTTTTCAAACTTTGATTACATTATGTTTTATACAAATTTAGTCAAAAATCTCTCTTAAGAAGTCTAGACAGACAGTAGGGTTAAATTCACATTTCCTCTCAGAGTTTAAACTTGAATTTGTTATATTATATATTGTCTTAAAGAAAGTGAAGGCCTTGTTTATTTTTACCTGTTTTTCTAGAAGGTGGTCTTGGTTCTTATTTGTAGCAATTTTTAAAAATGTGGAACTTATAATTCATGAATTTATCTGACAGTTGCAAAGGCACATATATTGCTTTGTATAGAGTCTTTGGTTTGAATCTGCTCAAAAGCAGAATATTTTTAGAGACAGCAGGTTTCTACAGATATGGTGGTAGTATATTTTAATTTCTCTTGGTTAACTACAGACACAAATCACAAATATTAATATTGAGACAGGAAATGCAATTACTTTCCCATTCTATATTTATACTGCTACCATACATGAATCATATCCCTGAAACTATATTTTGTAGTATTTTTCTCTGCTGAATACAAAATTTAGAGTAAATTTGGTACTCTGGCTCTACAGGAATGGCCAGAATTCTAATATGTGGTTTCCATTAGATATGCATTCAGAATTCCTCTTGTGCTTCAAACAATTACTGGAAAACAATGCACACTGCTACTTGCCAACATAACTGGAACTATATGGGAGAATTATAAGAGCATAAAAGTTTTGGCCTACTTAACACAGTGATATTAGGGCTTATGGATATAACATCATTGTGCTAGGGATTTTTTTATTGTTATCAAAGTGAATTGAAATTTAGTAGGATAGAAATGTTTGTATTGTTGCTGTTAAATCATAGAACAATAATAATTATTGTACTGCCAATAAATGGATAGCAGGGATAAAGGCAGAATAAACACGCTATATAACGGCTGTTTAAAGCTTCTGTTAATGTTCATTTAAATACTAATTAAAATCCAGTAAGAAAGATAAAATAGCTAGGTTAGCTATGATGTACAAGAACAATGAACTTTTTTTTCATTCGGTTGGGTTTGGTTTGTGATCAAAGGCAGCCTTGAAAGAAACAAGCTGAAGTGCAAGGAATCTCCAAACATATTTCAAAGATTATGTTTGTCTATCAAGGAACAGAATAGTGCTGTCATAGGTTTGTCAAAATAAATACAGAGATGCCATTATTCTCTCTGTCTTCCCTGGGTGGGTTTCAACTGCCCATCAGCAGAAGTAATTTTCCTATTTCCAGATACTTAATGTTCCTTGTGCGCTTTCTTTACAGGTGTTGTCTGGCATACAATATGTTGGTAGAAATAGACTTGTCACTACTTACCACTCTGTAGAAATACAAGCATTTATGAAGTCTTGCTTTTGTAATTCTTTCTGAGATTCTCTTTGAATGAATTCTCAAGTAAAAAAATTAAAAACATATTTAAAAATTTTGCAATGTAAACACTTTAAAAATAAGCTATATATTAGCAATTCAGCAGTAAAGTGAATTTTCAGTGATATGCATAAAAGATTTAAACAGATCCTCAAAAATCCACTAAAAATGCAAAAAAAAAAAAAATTTATTCAATTTCCAGTAAAGCAGCTTACAAATATTTTTAAAAATAATTTTGGAATAGATATTTTGAAAAAACAAATTTGTCTGTATGTATGTTGATTTTTAAGTTGAGTTTTACTTTGCCATATATGAAATGTTTTTTTCTTTTCATTTTTTTTTTGGTGTCTAAAAATTTGAAATAACCAAACACAACAATGTCCATTTATCTTTTTTATGGCAACATTTAGCATTATCACCCAGGCTTTAAGTATCCTTAGTATCATTTTTAACTTCTTGATTAAAAAAACAAAAACAAAACCAGTCTTGAGATTAAGTTGATTAATTGTCCAATTCATTTTTCTCCTTTCTCTTGTAAATTGAATTCTTCTCAATTTTGAATCAAATTAACAACCAATAGTTGCCACATTGGTTACAAGAATCTAACTATATTTGCCAAATACTTAGCAGGGGTCAGCCATCAGTTTAAGGGCAACTACAGGTAGTAGTGTGTATATGCTTTTATAGGTAGCCCAATAGGTCTTATGTGATTCTGCGAAGTATCATAAGTTCAGGAAACTCTGCAGGCATTGTTCAGATCTAACATTATGTTCCATTTACATTGACGATTTTAAGAAAATTTGTTTTTTCTATTGTTTTTATTCTTATTTGCCATTTTTATATTTTGTTTTATTACAAGCTTTGTTTAAAAACACATCCCAACTCTGTTTCTGAAACAGATGAAATAACAGGGAGCAGATACACCCTCCTTCCTGAAACAACCAAAAACCCAAATATATGAAACAAAGATTTGCAATCCAATTCACAATCAGGCAATGAAGTACAGTGATCTCATAGAGCTAAAAAATAAACGAGGTGAGCCCGATGATTTCCACAGTTTGCTGTCTTGAGAGAGTTTTCAGGGTGATTCAGGAGGCAAGAACCACATGAAAGCATTAGAAATAATAGAGAGAGCCCAGCCAGTAATAGTGTCTGTTTCTGCTTAGCCAGACAGAAAAATTTCATAGTTCATGGGGAATAAGGTAGAGTTCTCAGAATACTCAACCCTAAACTAAATGCTGTTCTGGCCCTTCCACAAAACATAAAAGGAAGAACCAAAAGGATCAAACTCTTTACAAGTAAATCAGCTGCATCCCAGAATTTTTTTTTCTCAAGTATATCTATAGGAATATAAAAATATTCAGCACCAAAAATGGTAAAATGTACAATGTTTGGCACCCAGTTATAAATAACCCTGTGCTATAGACTGAATGTTTGTTTACTGCAATTCATATGTGGAAATTCTAACCCCCAAGGTGATAGTATTAGCAGGTGGGACCTTTGGGAGATAATTAGGTCATAAATTCAGAATCTTCATGTTTGGGATTAGTGCCCTTATAAAAGAAGTCCCAAACAGCTAGCTAACCCCTTCCAACATATGAGCATAAAGTGAGAAGTCATAGTCCATGAATTGGAAAACCAGCCCTTGCCAGACACTGAATCTGCCAGTGGAATTAGACTTCCAGCCTCCAGTACTATGAGAAACAAGTTTCAGTTGTTCATAAACCACCTAGTTTATGGTATGCTTTTATAGCAGCCCAAACAGACTAGGACGCCTGTCATGCAAAGCAGCAAGAACATACTATCCACAATGAGAAGAAAAATACATAAAAACTGACTCAGAACTGATGTTAGAGTTATCTGGCAAATAGATGATAACAGTTATTATAATAGCATTTCATACTTTCAGAAAGATAAGTAAACACTTAAGTAATAAAAAGACCCAAATCAAACTTCTGGAAACAAAACCTACCACATCTGGGATAAAAAATATACTGGTTGGAAATAAAAGCCGAATATTTATTACAGAAGAAATGATCAGTAAACTTGTAGACATATCAATAGAAACTATCAAAATCCAAATACTCATGGCAAAGAGAATAATCAACATGAAAGTAAAAGTGAACAGAGTATCAGTAAGTTCGGTGTGACTTCAAGTGGCCTGGTTTGAAGCATGGGCTATTTTTGTGTTTTAGGTATTTATTGAGCAATCAAATCATACATAGCAATGTGTAGGAGACAGGTGTGGTGGTGTATACCTATAGTTCCGGCTACCAGGGAGCAGAGGCAGGAGGACCACTTGAGCCCGGGAGTTCCAGGTTGCAGTGAGCTATGGTCATGTAACTGCACTCCAACCTGGGTGATGGAGTGAGACCCTGTCTCTTAAGAAAAAAAAAAGCAAAGTGTGAAGGCTATTGAAATATACAATAAAGATGGGATAGGCTTGCTGCCTTCATTATCCAACATTTTAGTCGGGATCCCTCTATTACATAAGTAATTATTATTTTATACTCCTTTGTCTACATACATTAATTTGATACACAATCAAATATCAGAAGGATGGCATATTCTAATTTATTTCAGTCTCTTAGAATGACATCATTACCTGGTCATTGAGACATTCTTTTTGTGTTAAAAACATTCTACCAAAATAATCCAAATTTGTTACCAAATGTATATGATGTATTTTCAAAGTTGGTGAACTCAATCGTTTGAAAAATTATTATTATTTCACTCATGTGACTCTCATAGTCTCAAATCTTTCTGAAAATCTATAATAGTCCATTAATATTTTGACATGAGTCTTCATCATTTGAGAAATTTGATTTATACATTTTCGTTTTCTAATTTTAAAAAGAAACAAAAATACTATATACATTTATATTATTCTGAACAAACATGGTTTGTATTGTCAAACCTAAGTACGCAAAAATAATCAGATTGAGAATGAGAAGAACACTAAATGGAGAGATCTCACTTTTCTCTAAGGTTGTCGAGCTCACTCTTTTACAACACCGCTTATAAATATTTCTGTTTCCTGTAGTGATCTATTATGAACACTCTTTTTTATTTTATTAGACAAGTATTTAAACTATAATGTGTCATTTGATTCACTTATTTCACTGAAAATTGGTTCATTCTGTGGTTATAATTGTTTACAATTTAGGAAAGTCTCATCTTTTCCAAGAGAAATTTATCAGCTCAAAAAATATTTAATAATGAAGAAATCATAAGAGAAAACGTAATTCTTTTAAAGTGAACGACCGAGACATGGTTAGTGGTAAATTACTTGAAAGAAAAAGGAAAGTCACAGACAATAGTAGCTGTTATTTGTACAATGCTTTGGTGTTTACCAAGCACTTTCACATATATTATCTCATTTAATCTTTACAACACAGCTATATGCTAAATTTTATTTTGTGGAAGAGCAAGTTGACAGGCATAAAATGAAGTAAATTTATCTATTCATTTTTTTATGGCACCATGCTTTATTCCACAAATGATTTAGAGTGTCAAGCAAAATGACTTGCTGCAAGTTCACTAGTAAGTGGCACAGCTGGGATTTCAATTCGTGTTTTCTACTCCAGGTCACTGTTCGAGGCTGACAAAGTATATTGAAAGGTTTGCTTTGGATAAATAGCTTCCTAATGATGAATCCTGGCAGCTCAGGCTTCTGTGCATTTAACTGTGTGATCAATGTCGTGCCAATGGGCATGAGAAGATGCCTAGGCAGCATGTGTAGTCTGATGCGGCTATTTGGACCCATAAAAGAAAACGAACATAGTGTAACTGTGATCTCTCTATTACATAAATAATTATTATTTTAAACTCCTTTGTCTACATACATTCTCCTTTGTCTACATACATGAATAGTAAGGACATGAATACCAATCATAAATAATAATCACAGTGGGTTTATTAACTCCATTTCACTTAGATTGGTCAGTGAAATAAAAATCCACAAAGATTTATGTTTCAAAGACTATTTTTCATGATAGTGAAATGTATTCCTGCACCAAGAGCTGGTTTATTTTCTCTTCAAAATGTGACACTACCTATTTCCTCCATAATCCTAGTCAAACCTATCTATTTGCTTTAAATATTTGCCATTGTCTCTCCTAGAGAAGAGATGATTGTCAGATCACCAAAACTAGAAAAAGAACAAAAGTCACTTAAAATTAAAGTGAGTAGTCTATGAGATACATGAAACAGTGGGATAGAAGTAGAAACATGCCGGCCGGGCGCGGTGGCTCACGCCTGAAATCCCAACACTGTGGGAGGCCGAGGCGGACGGATTGCCTGAGGTCAGGAGTTTGAGATCAGTCTGGCCAACATGGTGAAATCCCATCTCCACTAAAAATACAAAAAAGGTGCCGGACGTGGTGGCATGCGCCTGTAATTCCAGCTACTCAGGAGGCTTGGGCAGGGGAATTGCCTGAACCAAGGAGGTGGAGGTTGCCGAGATTGTGCCACTGCACTTCAGCCTGGGCGACAGAGTGAGACTCCCTCTCAAAATAAATAAATAAATAAATAAATAAATAAATAAATAAATAAATAAATAAACAAACAAACAAATAAATAAATAAATAAAATAAAAATAAATAAAGAAGTAGAAGCATGCACCTGGACACTGTGTGTAATTTCCTAATTGCATTCTCCTAACTCACACGCAGAAATAACCAGCATCCTGAGTTGGTGTTGATCATTTCTTTGCTTACCTATAGTTTTTTAAACCTGTGTTTATTTTCTATAAAAGTCACATCTCTCTATGAATAACTTATTTAAAAGAAGTTTCCTAGAGAGTAATATGAAATGCATATTCCTCTGCATTTTCTTTTGCGGAATTTCTCTGCATTTCATATTTCTCTCTAGGAATGTTTTATACAAATATACCATCTAAGAATTCACTGCAATGTATAAAATAACATTTTGAAGTGAAAAAAGAAGTATGATTTTTTTGATAAGTAAGTCACAGTGTAAGTTTATTCTTTGAATTTTTAATGTTAATAAATAAAGCTATTACCAAAATAAATACTAGTATTTCCATTTGGAGATACCATCTTGAATTTACCACTTTACTAAAACATGGCTAACTTAATATTAGACTCGTTGCAGATTTCATCAGGTGTGTTGTTCTGCCCAAAGTTCTGACAAAGCTCAAATCTTAATCTCGTCCAATGAAATCTAGTTATTCTGGACAAGATAACTTAATGACAAGTTCATGTGAACCCATAATATACTCTTCAATCAATCATTTATTTTAAATATTGCAGAAAAATTATTGCCTATATAAAAGATAGTTGTTTAATTAAAAACGTTCTTAGCTCTAGAATCACTCCTTAGCAAATCCATGGGGTGCTTTAAAAAATAAAATCATAATGGTATATTCCCTTGTCTTCACTAGTTAGAACATGAATACTAATCATAAAATGTTTCTATATAGTCTACATACCGCATATCTATATGCTAAGCATTGATACTAATTGGGATTTAATCCAAAATTAGTTTATTTCTCACCTGAAAATAATAACAGTAATTATATTGGGGAAAGACAAGGTGAAGATGTCCTTTCAATAGGATAAATGCAATGAAGATGCAGAGACATATCTTTGAATTAATTGAAAAGTAAGTATTTAAGAATGTTTTTACCAGCAGGAGTATGCAGAGCCATCTACAATACACACACGTGCACACACACACACAATGCCTTTGCTTCTTTTGATTTGAGAGTGTAAGCATGAAGAGGATATAATAATCAGCCATTCTGTTTTTTTTTTCTTATATATTGCAATTACACAGAATTACAATGAGGAGTTCCTGGGGAAGAAGAACCCAGGAACACTGATTATTGAAACTAACCAGTGTTTCAATATCATTGTTAAATTACTTGCCATCCTATACTTTCATGTAGCGCTCTTTCTGTGAAAAAAGAAGAAAATAGTATGAAATTACCATGCTAAAATGTTGTACTGTGAACCTACTAATTATGTTTATTGGCTTCAACAAATTTTTAAATTAAATTCTCAGGGAGAGGGAATGATATCGAACTACCAGTTTCAGGTAATTTATTAGACAATTTGAAAGCTTTAAAAACATATTCAAGGTAGAAATTTAAATGTTTCGTATTTATCTTTTTTGGTTTCAGCCAATCAGAATAACTTTATTGAACATTTCCCAAGTCCTGATGTAAACCATCTCTTAGGGTCTTAAAACCATTAAGCAGCAAAACCTTGGCAAAAGCAACAAGTCATGTGGTATAAGGAAGACCCTTGAAATAACCACAGAGGAAAGGACTTTGGAGTAATGGCAGAAACCATTATCTTGGCAGTTAATAAACCAACTGGAAGATCACGTCTCCCCTAAGTTCTTTTAACCCCATAATATGGGGTCAGGGAGAGTATGGTACAACGAATGGAGGCCGTGATTCCCTTAATCATCATGGGGCATCAGGGGCAGGTGCAGCATAAAACCTTCCTTATTAAAGATACCTCCTCCTTCTTAATACATGGTTTCCCCTTGGCTCCCAGGACACTACAATCTCCTGGTTTTTCACTCACTCACTAGACATTCCTACTGATTATTGCTGATTTCTCTTGTTCTTTCATATTTCTCAGTACTGCAGAGTCTCAAACCTCAGTCCCAGCCCTCTCCCTTTCTCCTTCTACATCTATATCCTCATATGAGCTAATCTAATTCCGTATCTTTAAATAATATGCATATGCTGAGAACTCTCAATTCTGCATTATTTATTTATTTATTTATTTATGCCTCTTGGCTCTCTCTCCTCACAGAACTCATCTCCATAAGTTTTCCTAATTCTACTACTCATGCCACCATCTAAAGTATATCATTTTTCCTCTGGATTATGTAGTAGCTTTCTAACAGGTAGCATTGATTTAAACCCAACTACCTCTCCCCATGGCCCAATTCTTCACACTCAGCAGAAAAGCCAGAGTGATGTGTTAAAGACGTAAGTCCAATAATGTCTCTTCTCCATTCAAAGCTCTACAATGGCTTCGCCATTTCACTCAGTGTAGAAGCCACTTTTCACAATGGCCTGAAAGTCAGGGCCATTATTAATTCTCTGATTGTAGCTCTTAATCTCTCTTTCTTACTCAGTCCATTCCAGGATATTAGCCTCAATACAGTTCTAGGAATATTCTAGGCAAACTCCTTCCTTAGGGTCTTTCCTTCAGACCCCAAACTGAAATTTTCTTCTCCTAAATATCCTTTTGAGTTTGGAAAATATTTTCCATGTTCTTCAAGTTTTCCCCATAGCTTACTTTCTCAATAAAACCTAGTTTTTCTTTTTTTTTTTTAGCCTTAACATTACACCTACCCCACCAACCTCTTTTTCCTAATCTATGCTTATGTTCTATTTTTTCCTTAGCACTTCTCATCTTCTTATGCATAATATAATTTATCAAAAGGAGATAAATTATATTATGGCTTAGCATCTTTCACTTACCACTAGAATGTAAGCCAACCAAAGAGTAGGTATCTTTTTTCAGTGATGCATCTACAGGGACTAGAACAGGGCCTTGCATGTGGTAGACATCCATAAATATTTGTAAAACAAACAAAATTGGAGATAGCGGTGAGGAGATGTGGAACATGAATGCATTTATAAAAGCTTTTCCACATCAGCAAAGAAAACCAAGGAACTATTGCAGAAGATTCTCATATAGCAGTGTCAAAACTTCAACATTTGTGCAATTGTGGTTATAAAATATCTGTACCAATTTTAATATAGTTGATAAAGACTGCGTATTAGGAGAAAAGGTTAAAATTTAAAGGAATAAATTTCAAGCAATTAGAGAGATTGGGAATTGACATCACAGCCCTAGGACCTAAGTGAGACACAGAAGTGGAAATGGGTGGAGCAGAGAATCACATAAAAACAGAGAAAAGCAGTTAGGACATAGCCAGTATGATGAAAAAGAGGAGTATATCCTAGAATTGTAACAGAAATGGCTATAGCTAATCTTCAATAAGGGCCATACTAGTGATTTATTTGAGAGGAAATATATCCGGAGCCAAACAGCATAATTCCTGGAGCCTATCTGCCTGGCTCAGCTGCTTATAAGCTGTGTGACCTTGACCAGAGGTTTCGCCTCTCTGTGTTTTAATTTCCTTTTGTCTGAAGTAAGGGTAAGAATAGCACACCCTCCTCACAGAGTTGTTGCTAAAAGAGTCCACATGTGTCAAACACTTAGAACTGCATCTAGCACATGGTGCAGGCCATATAAGCATTAATTATTAGCAGTAGCAGTGGTAATGGTTGCCTACTGTGTTGATGCATAGAGTAATGACAGCCCAAACTGTGGGTCCTAGAAGGGACTCTGCACCTAGTTCCAGATTCACATATTCAGGGCAAGCAAATGTGAATGCCACATATCCTAGTTGGAGATAGTGTTAAAGAAAAGACTGTGGACAAATATATTTGGGAGATACTATATACCATATGAATCTCTTTAGTAGATTCATTTCTACAACCATCCACCTTGTTCTGTACTAAATACAAATAGTGCTGTTTAATTAAACAATTTCCCACACATATTTGATTGCAGAAACTTTAGTTATAAAATATCAACTAATATTTTACGTTTACGCTACAAAGGGAACTGACACATTTTTATTTGTAATATACTGTCACTTCTGAGATTGAGTTTCTTATATCTAATTAATCCCGTATTTTGCCAATACTTTGGTAACTGACAAATGTTTGACTTGGTCAGTGTTGTTATTGCATCCATATAGAAGTGCTATAGCCATCATATCAATCTATTCAATATGTTTTCGTTAAAAATAAGCATCAGTCAAAATGTATTTTTGACTAAAAATAAATATCAATTATAAGTAAAAATAGGCATTGCAATGATTTAAAAAACTTTACAAATGGAACTGAGGCATTCACACAAAGCATTAGGTATGTCCAAATAGCTTTTAGCCTCAGATGCTAATTCAAATGAGTGTACTGTAATCTGATTGAATATGATTGTAAAGAGAAACATGTAACATTAACAAAACTTAGAACATATACAACTAAAAATTATATTGAAATTTTCAGAGGCAAAGAAACTGTTATTAAGTGTTCAGGGGAAAACAATACTTTTAACTGGCAGGTTTTCATTATATCAAAAATAAAAATTATAGTCCCCATAATGTGGCTTCTTCTTATGAATTTGACTACACTCCCAACTAGCCTCCCTTTTTCTTACTTTGCTCCAGTCACATAATTACTCCTGGTTGTCACTTCAATACACTGGACCTACTCATAGCTACAAGGCCTGGGTACATGCTGTTTCCTGTGACCACAGTGCTCCCCTCTTCCCAATATCCCCATGGATGACACAGAAACCCACACATGTCTCAGCTCAAATGACCCCTTTTCAGTGCAGCCCTCTTGGCCCTTTTAACATTAAAATTGTCCCTGTACTTCCATTTGTCCTCCACTACTTTGTTACACAGCTCTCATAAAAATCTCTCATATTACATATTATAGCTGTTTGATTATTTCCTGACTTCCTCCACTGGAATATAAGCTATTAAAGAACAAATATTCTTGCCCATTTTACTGCTGTAATCTTTTGGACTAAAACAGTACCTGGCATATGGGAGGTGTTGAATAGTTGGTGAATAAGTCAACTAAACATTAAATAGTGAATAAATTTTTAAAAATCTTCATGTTAATTTCTTTTTTTAATATTTTTAGCTTCTTAATAGTGATACCCTCTGTGTTTGTCCCTTCTGACACTGCTATAAAGAACTGCCTGAGACTGGGTCATTTATAAAGAAAAAAGATTGAATTGACTCACAGTTCTGCATGGCTGGGGAGGCCTTAGGAAACTTACAATCATGGTGGAAGGCAAAGGGGGAAGAAAGGCATGTCTTACATGGTGTTAGGAGAGAGAGCAAGCACAGGGGAAAATGCCACTTTTTAACTATCAGATGTCACAAGAACTCCCTCACTATCATGAGAACAGCATGTGGTAAACCGCCCTCATGATCCAGCCACCTCCACCCAGGTCTCTCCCTCAACATGTGGGGATTACAATTCAAGATGAGATTTGGGTGGGGACACAGAGCCAAGTCATATCCTGCTCTATCTAAAGACTTTCCTCAGAATCCTTTATGTTAGGAGTGCCATCCTAGTGTGCCATCCTAGTGTTCGTTCAAGAAGTCAGGGATACATGTGAGGTCTTTCTCTCTCTGTTCCACTGTCTCTAATCTTTCACAGGGAATGACAGTCCATCATCCTAATCTATCATTTCTCATACTGATCCTTTTCCGTGGTCACTGCCCCTGCCTTAGTTCAGGTTCCGGTCATATTTTATTCAGAATTTTATAATAGCTTTTTTCATGCCTCCTGGCCCAGTCTCCCTACACTACTCTCATCCATCTTACTATATTTATAACCAATATTTCAGATTGGTATATCAGGTCATGTCACTTCCTTCATCAAAGTTCTTTTATATCCCTGTTGTCCATAAGAAGAGAAACAATGTAGCATGCAGGTCCCAGACTCATTTCCTTCCTCTATTTTGCTGCTCTCCAGTGACAGTGAATTATGTGCAGTTTTCTGAAACTTCTCAGTCTCAGTGTTTGCATATATTGTTCCTTCTACATTGGATACACTCTGTTTCCCAAGTGGCCGAACATTATTTTCTGACTCATACCATGTGGCTATTCTAAAATGCTTGCTTAGAATCCATCAGTGACACATTTTCCCCTCTGTCTTCTTACATCACCATTTGAGCACTGTCCATGCTACTGTAACTACTATTTTAAATTCACCTATTAGGCTCTGAGGCTCTCAAAAGCAAGGGGCACATTATATTCTTATTTTTCAGGATAATTTTTTATTTATAGTACATCCTGTAATGCTTGGCATTTAATAGTGTTTTCAGAATCAAATGTATAAAGAATATTTTAGGGCAAATGAGACAAATTTTATTTATGCTATTCTTGGTGAGCTTAATTTTATTCCATTTGGTAAACTCTGTTTTTCTTTTTTTTTTAAATTGTATAAACTCCAGTTTCTTTGTTATTTATTAATTAATATTCATATATCTATGAAAATCTTGCTTTCTCCCTAGATAAATTTTGAAAATAATCAAAACTTTGAAATATATTTTACAACGAAAACAACTTGCTTTTTTTTCTTTCTAATCAGTAAAGAGCACAAGAGCAGTAGAATGACATTAAATAATGTTCATAATTTAAAACTTTCATTTTCTTTGTTCTTGACTTTAGTTCATTAATACCATAATAGATGTTTCTGGTGTACGTTTCAGCTAATTGCCTTACATATTTAAGGTTTTTACATGCATGTATTACAATCTTTTGTTTCCCCAAAATGTGGCTACAATCAGTCAGGTAGTTTTTGAGTTTGTTCTCTTATCACTCCAGCCATGATTTCAGGGAAATCGAGTGCTTTGTTAGCTGTGTTCTCTTATGAGACCACAGAGAACTACAATTTCACAAAGATGAATTGAGAGACAGATAATTCTAATATTTTCAGAACATGGTCTCTATATGATTTTTAACCATGTTTTAGTCAGTCTTCAGAGAACATTCCATTTAGATTTATATATTGTGGCAGCCATGCAAATATGCCACTTAGATTTCCTACTACAAAGAGTGTAATGGACTCTTGACCCCAGCTGCTGCCTGTCTGGATCCCCCATTGCATTGCATTTGTGACCACACTCTTCTTTCCATGGCCTGCTACCAATATATGACTAAGCAAGCAGTAGTACTACTGAAGGGTTATTAAGTGAGATGCAGGACTCTTCTTATGAGGAATTTGGGCTTGAGTACTCACTATGTGCCTAGCCAAACATTTCTTGCATCTGTGTTAGAGCCTGAGATTCTCCCAACCTCTTTTTCCCCCTCTCTCATTTTACAGGCATCAGACCGGCACTGTGGCATGAAGTCTCCCTCTTCCTTCTTTTCCCTTCTCCTATTCAGTCCCCAGTACATATTTTCCACTTTTAATTTCCTCTAGACATTTGCTTCTCTGTAGATCCAAAATTGAATATGTTAAGCAGGGTTGGCTCACTTTACTATCACAAAAAGTTTGCTAAGTAAAAGTACAGAGAAAGTGTGATAGGATAAGAAGATTTGTATAGTATTTTGCCAAGGTAATCCAGCACTTTCAGATTATAATTTATTCATTCATTCATTCATTCAATTAACTTCTTGAATGACTACAATACATAGAAATTTTTTAAGAGAACTGGGATCAAAGAAAAATCCTACACTTTACTGCATTTTCCTTCTAAGTGTCAATCTAATTCTTTTCTTATTTTTATGACACAATTCAGCAATATTGAACTACTACTTACCTGGACATTTTATAGTCTCTCATTTCTGTATACCTATGTCAGTTGTTACCTGCTTATAAGACCTTTTTCTACTTCCTCTTGTCCACTTAAATGTGTCATCTTTCCCAGCCTTTGTCTACTTAACTCCCTCCTATCTCGCCTTCAGACCTCATCTCAAAATTCACCTGCCGTGAGAAGAGTTCTCATGATTCTTTCAAGTGGATTAAAATGTGTCCAGGTTGCCAAGTATGTGATTTTTAAAGGACAAGTGAATTGTTATCTCTAAAATCTAAAGAAAACATAAGTTGGGATGCATTTCTGTCAATATCATTTCACATCATGTCTCTTATTTTTTGCTGTTCCACAATTCTTTCTATGAAGTATATTTAAACACATTTATTCATCAGTAGATGCTCTATCCCATCAACAATGCACTTTGTATCTATTGTCATCATGAGCATTTCCTGATAGTAATGGATGTTTTCAGTGCATAATTGTCTTGCTGTGAGAATCTAAGTTTTCTGATCACAAGACAGATGCTTTTCATCTTTGAATCCCCAGTGCCTCTACAGCCAGTAAATAAATATCAATTTAATGAAAAAGAAAGATCCCAGTTAGTAGGGGAGACATATGCATTCATAGATAGTTATAATTCAGTTAGACAAGTTCTTTAATGAAATTGGAATTGCTTGTCGTTCACAGTAGCTGGTAACTATATATATATCCAAAGAGTTAGAAAAATATCTCAGGGTCTTGAAAGCTGAATATCTACCAGTGATCAATGGAGTTCCAGGAAATTATGTTTTTTCTTCCCCCAAATCTCATCTTTTCAATTATCTTTGATTTTTGAAATATATATGCTATAATGAATATATTAAATCAAAAATATTTGGCCAGGCAAAGAAAGATAAATACAGCATGTTCTCACTCATATGTGGAATCTAAAAAAGTTAATCTCAAAGAAGCAGAGACTAGAATAGCGGTTACTAGAGGCTGGTAAATGGAGAGGGAGAGACAAAAGTTGGTTAAAGAATAAAAAAGTGGCTAGGCGCGGTGGCTCATGCCTGTAATCCCAGCACTTTGGGAGGCCGAGGCTGGTGGATCACGAGGTCAGGAGATCAAGACCATCCTCGCTAACACGGTGAAACCCCGTCTCTACTAAAAATAGAAAAAAATTAGCCGGGCCCAGTGGTGGCAGGCACCTGTAGTCCCAGCTACTCGGGAGGCTGAGGCCGGAGAATGGCGTGAACCCAGGAGGCGGAGCTTGCAGTGAGCCGAGATCCCGCCACTGCACTGCAGCCTGGGCGACAGAGCGAGACTCTGTTTCAAAATAAATAAATAAATTTAAAAAAATAAAAAAGTAAAGGTAGGTAGGAATCAGTTCTAATTTTCTATAGCACTATATGATTATAATTAACGAAAATTTATTGCAGATTTTCAAATAACTAAAAGAGCAGATTTTGAATGTTCCCAAAACAAATAATAAATATTTGAAGTGACAGATATGCTAATTACTCTAATTAAATCATTACACAGTGTATACATGTATGGAAAGATCACACTGTACCCCATACATATGTAGAATTATTATGTGCCAATTAAAAAATAAAAAGAAGTAAACATTTAGAAGTATTTATAAAAAGAAGGGGCACTTTTGTTGAAAGTTTGCATATTCATTTTCTAGCAATTTCCAATCATGTTGCAGCAGAGTTGTATAAATATTTGCTTCACAAATGGAAATGGAATCCTGTACTTTTTAATCGAATCATCTATATATTTCTGGGGGCGGGGGGCGGGAAAAGTCATAGCCCTTATAACTCAAAACTTTTCATAAGTCAAAACTTTTCCTCCTATAAAAATGTAACTTATCAAAGATTCAACAAATAGTTACTGTATCTATGATGTGCCCAACACTCTTCTAATTTTTAGGGTATATTCTATAAAATTTCTGAAGTGAAGAGACACATTAATATTATAAAATACAAATGGGCTTTTTGGGTAGATTTTAAAAGTTATTTTATGTTTACTTATGTGCTAGACAACAAAATTAAATATAATTAGTTTATATATTATATATCTGAGTTATATATAAATACTGTTAAATATATAATTTGCAAGACACTCTTTCTGCGTATGTGACATAGTCATTTTTATGATAATACCCTTGTCCTGGAAACAAAATGGGCGAATTACTTAAATAGCTTTTTCTTCATATACTTCAAGAAATAAAGACTGCTTATTACTACAGTTTGTGTGTAGAATTATAAAGATGGAACAGCTCAAAAAGGACACAGAAGAGCTGTAGCATATATTGTGCTTATTTAGTCCCATGTTTGCCTTCCAAAATAAATTAAATATAGGGATTATCTGGAAACAACGTCTAGGGAAGATCTTTAGGGGAAACACGTAGGGCATGAGCTACCAAAATGGCTGCCTGGTTGCTAAGGAAGAGGCTCCCAGAAAAGTGCAGTGGAAACTTTCCCATCCTTTGCTCTGAGATGCCTAATTCAGATCCCTGCTGACATGCCTAATGGCATTTAGGTCTGTGACAAATCTGATTTATTTGGGTGTTCTTCCTCTGCTTCCATAAAGGAACTGCTGATGTGGTGACATATTAGTCATCGCGCCTCTAGAGCAGTTTCTTCTGCTGGTAGCGGAACCTCTGTTCAGCAGGACTATAAATTTCTTTCAGAGCCAATGTCATGTTGCTGTTGTGCGTGAAGACTCTGTTAGGTCCTCTGTCAAGCAAATCCCCCGACATCCATTTTCTTGAAGTCAAGATATCTGGCTAGACAACAATTTAGTTAATTAAGAAGAACGTTTCATAAAATGCTGATTGAGTGTGAGAGGAGGAGCTTGCGATGTGTGAGGAAACAGTGGGGCTTGCAATTTTATAATTTAAGTAAAATTAAAATTGAAATGTATCATTAAGTATTATTGCCTCTAATAACATCTAAAGCAGTGTTCTGTTCTTTTCTCCTTTAAAATCTAATTACTGTACAACTAAAACTCCCTTCTTTGTAATAACACTTTTCTTAAGTGTTATTTGTGGAGGTATTTTCTTTCACAATCAGAGAGTCTAGAAGTTGCCTTTAGACCACTAGACCACTGGGGGTTAAACTGCCAATCACTATTTTTTTTTTTAAACTGAGCCTCATCGTTCATTTTTCCTCATACCATTAACTGAGCTTTATCTTCCACTGCATTCCTACTGTGCTTGCTTGCGTCAGCTCCATAGATCACTTTCCTTTTTTTTTCTTTTTTTCTCCTTTCCCCTCAGACTAATGAAAATTTTATTGTCAATGTTTCTCTTTATTTGGTAATATTTTAAACTGAAATATTAAAAATAATATTAACACCAGAGTAAACAGTTTCCTTTGCTTTTTCCTGTCATCGGGTAGACTTTAGTACACAGTACACATAATTATGGTCACCACTAAATTCACATATTTTAGAAATAGTAAGCTTTGCATTACTTTCCTTTGTTCTCATACTCAACTTTTAACTATTTTTCTTTTAATTGGATTTTTAAATGAAAGTACATTTAAAATTGAGGAGGTTGTCTCAGTGGTGTGAAAAGTTCAGTGTGTTCTCTTATTTTTTCACTGAAAGTCTGTCTAAATTTTTTTGTAATGGAAAATTTTGAGGCATACTGAAGCTCATGTTTTCTTTATCATGGCAAATATCCATTAAGTATGAATATTCAAGAAAATTATCTTGTATCATCTTTCATATTTAATTGAATCATACATATTTCCTTTTGGCTAATAACTATCAATATTATTTTATTCATATTGTGTAATGAAGCTATATTTGAATATCTTAGTTTTATGGAAACTTTTAAAATGAGAAAATAAAATAATGCTATTCTATTTTGGAGTATTTCTCTCTAATAAGATGCTAGTAATTTGTTCTTATGTGTGAACAGGACTGCAAAGCATGTATTAGGGTACCTGACATATAATAAATACCAAATATATTTTAGGAGCTAACAAAAAGTATTTTGTTAATAAAGATGTCTTCATTAGCAATTATCATTACCTTGATTCTTCCAATCAGTAATGTACATCTTCTTCTAGCCCCACATGGGCTTTAGTATGACTTACCCAAACAGGAATGAATAGCTTTCTCTCAGGTGCCATGCTGTAAGCTACAGAACTTAGCTGGTATTTCTGCTTTCATCCAAGGTTAGCAATTATAATTATACACTTAGTCAAGCTGATTCCTAAGCATCCTCTGAAATTGAGACAACCTGCTCAATTTTAAATGTACTTTCATTTACAAATCCAGTTGAAAGAAAAATAATTAAAAATTGAGTGTGAGGGAAAAGGAAAGTAATGCAAAATCTAGTCATACTTGGCTAAATTATTTACCACTGACTTTCTAATAAAAACAAAAGGGATTATTTGAAAACAATAAAACCCATGTTATGCAATGAAGTATGTACAGTTTAAAAATCTGTGGAGGGACAATTCCTGCTGTACAGCATCCTTGGTAGGATTTGGTATTGTCTGAATTTTTTTTTAAAAAAAGATTGCCATTGTAGTAGATGTGTAGTGGTATTTCCTTGTGGTTTTAATTTGCATTTTATAATGAACTAATGATGTTGAGTCTTTTTTGTATGCTTATTTCCCATCCTATATCTTCTTTGGTGAAGCGTCTGTTTATATAATTTTCCCACTTTTTAACTGGGTCATTGATTTTCTTATTGAAGAGGTTCAAGTATTATTTATGTATTCTGAATATGTCATTTGTAAAAATTTTCTTTTTCTATTCTTTTTTTTTCTCTGTAAATATGGAACGCTTCACGAATTTGCGTGCCATCCTTGCGCAGGGGCCATGCTAATCTTCTCTGTAGCATTCCAATTTTAGTATATGTGCTGCTGAAGCGAGCACTCATTTGTAAAAATTTTCTTCCCATCCATGAGTTGTGGTTTTATTCTCTTAAGAGTGTCGTTTGCATAGAAAAATGTTTTAATTTGATAAAGTATACATTTTTACTTTATGGTCATATTTTTGCTGTTGTATGTAAAAATTTATCAACAAGCCTAAGATCAAATAGATTTTTCTTGAGTATTTTATAGATGATTTGTAGTTTCATTTCTTACCTTTATGCTATGATTTATTGATCCATTTTGAGTTAAGTTTTGTATAAGTTGGGAGATATGAGTCAGGACTCTTTTTTTTAATATGAGTGCCCAAATGTCTTAGTACTATTTGTTACAGAGGCTATCTTTTCTTCACTGATTTGATTTTCCAACTTTGTCAAAAGTTAATTGATTATATTTGCATGGGTCAATTTCTGGACTCTATTATGTTTCATTGACTTTTTTATCCTCATAGGTCTTAAAATTATTTAGTGAGATTTTTCTAACTTTGTTCTTTTCTCAGAATTATCTTGACTATTCTAGTTAGTTTGATCTTCCATAAGGATTTTAAAATAAGCTTGCCTATGTCTATAAAATGCTTGCTTAGATTTTGAATGGAATTTTTTCAATCTATATGTTACATTGGGAAAAATTGTCATGTTAGCAAAATTGAGTTTTCCAATCCATAAACACTGTATATCTTTCCATTTTGTTAGAGCTTTTATTTCTTTCATCAGTGTTTTGTACTTTCTAGCATACATATCCTGCGCACATTTTTCTTTGTTAGTGGAAATGGTAAATGGTACAGATACTTTGGAAAACACTTCGGCAGTTTCATATAAAGTTAAATATCCATTTGCTACACAACCAGCAGTCCTATTCCTACTTATTCATCCAATGAATTAAAAACTTATTAGACTTTCCTACATAAACTTGTATAGGAATGTGTTACAGCAGCTTTGTTCATGATTACCCCAAATTGGAAGCAACCAAGATGTTGTTGGATTAAAAGAAAAACAACCAGGTACATTTATACTATGCAATACTACTTAGTAATTAAAGGAAAAAGGAAATGAAAGACCCTATTCACTCAATCTGAAGGAATTGCTAAGTGAAAAACACCAGACTGCAAATACCACTACTGTATGATTGTCTTTATTTTATCCTCGGAAAAGATAAAACTATAGGAACGGAAAATACATCACTAATTGTCAAAGTTTGGTGTGAGAGGAAGGTTTGACTACATACAGTCAACCCAAGTAAATTTTTAGCGTGATGGAATTGTGCTTTGAGAAACTTCAGTGGAAACTTAACTATATACATTTATCAAACTCGAAACTGGACACCACAAAATGAGAACTTTAATGTATGCAAATTTTAAGAAAATCAACCAGGGCGTTGGAGGATTCCAGCATGTAATACAGACTATAACTGGAAATGTATGACATAATCTCACCAAAGAGATGGGGGGAAAGGAACTGACATAAGTATCTTTGGAAACAGTGTTTGACGAGATACTACAAGGCCACAGACAAGCATCACCATACATAATAAGCAGTGTACTCAACTAATAAATTTAATTTTCACAGGTCTATGAATTAGCAATTCTAAAACAATTTTACATGTATTTAGATTTGATAAACTATAGATAATGGGATTCAAGTTTCTCATTGTCAGAGGTAGATTTTAAAATAAGTAAGCAGGGGAAGGGTAGGATAAACTTTGTGGTGATGAATTAAAATTGGAGATAATACTATGAATGTATGTTTCTTTTAACATAGATGCTGATAGGTAAAATATGTAAATAAATATAAATGTATGTGTATACTTCTGTAGTATACATACATATGCTTCCTAACTCTCTCTATTAAAAGGGCCTAGAAGCAGTGAAACTTCAATAACAAACAGCATACCTAGTCCCTGGATCTAAGATTTTAAATATCAGTCTCTAATAAAAGAAAACGGGGGTTCCTGGAGAATAGCTAATTCTGTGAACTAATCAGGGAAAATACATGATTAACCTAAAACATTTTTCAGTGCCATTAAATAGAAAGTTTAAAATAATTTTTTAATTAAAACTTTTTAAAGAGAATGTAGCAGTCAATTTTAGATAATATTCAATAGCCAAAGCTGAAGCAATTTGAGAAAAAACACTCACCAATGATAATAATAGATTATAACCTAAGAATATCCATGAATTCATATTGATATTAAATGAATGACTGAATGCATACATGAGGGAAAGGAACAAGTATTTCTTTCATAATTCTAAATAGTGAATGTAGAAACAATGACAGAAATAGAAAATTAAACAGGAATGCTGTAATTAAAGGATAAAAAGAAGAGAGCATATTTGGAATACTTAAAGTATGTCCTGAAAATAATTACTGTGGTAGTTTTAACATTTGACCACAAGTTTTTGACTCCTTCTTTCGGGAAGTAGATTTTAATTCCCCTCTCTTTGTCTGGGACCTGGTCTTAGTGACTCACTTCTGACCAATAAAGTATAGAAAGGCAAAATCAGTAGTAACTTTACCATGGTGAAACCTGGCAAACACCACCGGAACCAAGCAACCAAAGCTAAACCACCAGGAATAAGTAATGTTGGTAAGATGTACCCCTGATGGGAAGGGCAGGACACCCCTGTGGTATTATTTCTCCAAATCTGTCCTATCAATCTAATCTTGAGAAACATTCTATTAATGCACACTGAGTAATATTCTGTAAAATACCTAAAAATTACCCATCAAAAGTGTCAAGGTTATAAAAAATATGGAACTGCTGAGAAACTATCACAGAATGGAAGAGACGAAGGAGACATGAATCATTATAAATAAGAATACATTTCCTGGAGCAGAAAATTAATGTAAGTGAAAACATTGTAGGATCTGAATAAACTCTGAGTTTGATGACTATTTTTTGCACTAATGTTAGTTTACTAATTTTGATGACCACGCCAGGGTTGTATGAGATGTTATTATCAGGGGAAACTGAATGAAGGTTATACAAGAACTTTCTGTTCCATCTTCATTACTCTTTTGCCAGTCTAAAATTATTTCAAAATGAAAGTTTAAAAAATATCTGTGGAATAATTTCTGTGCATTCAGAATCATTAGTCTGCCACCAGAGAATAACTGAGAAGAGTTTCTCCCAATCTGGTTCTGGACTTCTGATTTTATTGTCCCACCAGTTTTGCACAATCTGCTCAACTGTTTCTGCAGCCTATGTTCAAAGTTCTCTGATGACTCCACTTAGAATGATCACTTCTTTATGTAGAAATAATTTTGTTACAATACGAAAATAATTGTTTATTTTCACAGTCTTTTGTAGATTACATACTACATATAATACTCAGAATTGCCAGATAAAAGCCAATGCATATGATGTAATTCCTGGAATTAGTCCTGAAATGCATATATCTGTGTCAGTTAATGACTAGATATTGAGGCCTGAGAGGACATGGTACATTTTTCAGACTTCAGATGGTTAGATTAGAAGGAAACATAGGTGTGTATATGAGTGGGCAGAGATGTGGCTGGGAAAATGGGCAAGGGTCATATCTTAGAAATGTCGGTAGATCATACTCCGCAATAAGATTTTTACAATAGAAAGAGTGAAAAGCCATTCAGGGATTTTAAAGAAAGGAATAAGAAATCAGAAGCATATGTTAGGTAAATTCTTCTGCCAGTGTGAAAAATAATGCTCGAGTTGCAGGAGTGATTCTGAAGGGGTAAAATATATAGCTTCTACTAAGCAATTTAAAGAACTGAAACTTAAGAAATCTAAGTAAGGGTTGTTCTTTACCTAATATTTATATGGCAAAGTCATGTCTAAAGGTAATTGCTGAAGGAATAATCCTATATACAAATTTTGTATGTCGATAGTATATAAACAAAATTGAAAGATAAAAACAAACCAGAAATAAAATTGTCAGACATGTAATGCAGGCTTTTATTTCTACTCTTCTTAAAACTCATAAAAATATAGGAACACACCAAAATAAAAATTAACAAAGATTATAAACTGGATATTATGGATTGAAATAAATCATTCCAAAATTCATGTGTTGAGGTCCTTATACCCAGTAGAACCTCAGAATGTGATAGTATTTGGAAGTAGTGTCTTTGCAGATAACAAATTTAAGATGAGCTCATTAAGGTGGGCTTTAATCCAATTTGAATGGTGTTTTTACAAAAAGGGTTGGACACAGACCCATATACAAGGGAAGACACTGTGAGGGCGCAGGAAGAATGCCATCTGCCAATTGACATTATGGTGCCACAAGCCAAGGGACTACCAAAAGCTAAAATAAAGACTTGGAATAGAACTCTCCCTGACACTTTCAAAGAAAGGGAAACTCTACCAACACATTGATCTGGAACTTTTAGCATCCAGGACAGTGAGACAATACATTTCTGTTGGTACTTTGCTATAAACGAATACACTACTTTTTAACCAAAAAATGCAATATAAATGATCAGTAAAATATAAAAACATGTGCTACCATATTTGTTAAATAAAAATTCAAATTAAGAAAGTAACATATAATTTTTAATGGCCCAAGGTTTTTAAAATAATAGCGAGAGTGAGTATGTTAAAATTGACACTGTTTTATACTGCCCGTAGAAGTACAGTCTGTTAGACTGAATACATGTAAAGATACACTTAATGTATTACAGCACTTACTGTAGTGATAGGTATATTGTAGGAACACAATAAGTGATAACTATAATGAATAGTGTAATTATATATCTGTATTAAAATTATACATGTTGTATAATGATAGCAATAGCAATAAAGTCTCTCTTGATAGAAACTTGGCAAAATGTATCAAGGCCTTAATATTACAGGCTTTGGTCCATCAATTCCACCCCTGGGAATGTATTTCCTTTCTGTATTTAATAGTACCTTCTCCATGCTGAAGAGAAAAGGAAAGTAATTAGATGACAAAAGAAGTGAAAGAGATAAAAGTGCAAGGTGATCGAGAAGGACTGAAGAATGTTTGGGGTGAAAAGAATGAGGAGTATAATTTAGTTTTCTTGTCAGAAAAAGCCTTTCTTTTGAGGTGACTTTTGAACAGAAACTTGAATGAGAAGCAGAAGTCTCTCACAGGCAGCTACATGAGGAGTGATTTGTGACCTCCAGTCTGTGGGACCAATCAGAGCAAAGAGCCCAAAGAGTGGTGAAATATTCTGCCTTATTTTAAGTGAAGTGGGGAGGCCAAAAGAATTGCACAGATATGTCACTATGCCCCAACTCTCTTTCTCTCTTACACACACACACACACACACACACACACACACACACACTCTCAGGTTTTTACTATCTTTGCAATCATTTACTAATGTGCTATTTTTGAATGCTTAGTCTTCGAATCGTACAGGAGACTGTGCTATCAATCTACCAGTCTTCCAAACTCACTATAAACAAAAAAAGAACTTGAAAATTTTATTCTCATAGATGAAATAGAGTTGCTTTTTGGATATCAATAGGAGAGGCCCCTCTTAAGCTCTCCTGAGGGAGAAAATACTACAGTTTTGCAAAAGAATGAGCAAAGCAATTAAATTTACCCACAAGAGTTCACACACACACACACACACACACACACACACAAAGTCACAGTCGATAACATTTTTGTCTTGGGTTTCAAGGAATGATTAGAAGTTACACAAGTGAAAATGGGAGAATCATCTATTAAAGACAGGTTATATCATACATGTATAATTGCAGAAAATGTTTTATGAATGGAGAAAGGAGGAAAGAGAAAAGGGGATGGAAGGAGACTGTGCAGAGGAAGTAAACAGAATTTGGGTTGCTAAGTACCTGTGAGATTAGTGTGTAAAGGATTTTATATGTACTGATAGATAATAAAATACAAGCAGCAGGAATACTATATGGACTAAAGTATTTATTATTTTCCAGTCACAAAATTTTGAATATCATTTTATAATTAAATCCAGAACATGTTCAGGTTCTAAGCCTAACATGTATTTAAGGTATTGCTCCATACATTTAATGTATTGCTCCAGGAAAGACTCTGATGAAATCCTTGTTTCCATCAAAAAGAGTAATATGTCATATTTTAAACAAAGAGGTGTTTCAGTCTGTTTTGTGTTGCTGTAACAGAATACCTGAGTTTGGCTAATTTATAATGAAGAGGCTCACAGTTCCAAAGGCTGGGAAGTCCAATATTAAGGTGTTAGCATATGGCAAGTGCCTTCTTGCTATGTCATAACATGGCAAAAGGCTTCACATGGTAGAAGGACAAAGAAAGAGGGAGAAAGGGGGTGTCTAACTCTCCCTTTTATAATGAACCTGTTTCCACAATAATGAATGCATTCCTACTCTAATGGCATTAATCCCTTTGTTAGGGCAGAGCTGTCATGGCTTAACACCTCTTAAAGGTTACATCTTTTACTTCTGTTACAATGACATATAAATTTCAACAGGAATTTTGGAGGGGAAAAACAGCATTCAAGACACAGGAGGAGGAAGAACCCAAATCAGTGAGGTGGGATTTTCCTTTAGGTATTTTTTCACATTACTCTGAAATCTTAATTTTCTCCAAATGATGATATAAAAAATTGTTGTCCCATTTCTCTAAATTGAAATGTTATGCCTACAATTCTATTTTTAATAAAACTTTTTGTTTTTACTATTAGCTCTTAAAATAGTATTAATTAATGTGCCTTACTAGCCTTGAAGTCATTTATGACATTTTATGTATGTTGATGTATTTTTGCTTAAAATTGAACCTAATATAATAGTTATAAGAGTAATAGCAAACATTTATACAGGAGTTGGTATGGGCAGTAATTGTTCTAAGCGCCTTCTATGTATTCATTTATTTTTAGCCACTCAGAAACCCTATGAGGTAGTAACCATTGTTATTATCAGTTTACAGATGAAGAAACTGAAGTACAAAGCAGAAACCTACCCAAATCATGTATTAGATAGGTGAAATGTCAAGATAAAATCCCTAGATATTTTGTTTATTGAAAAGAAGAAATCTTACTGCTTAATGTAATTGTATATATTTTATATTATAAAATTATAGGAAGTGAAACCAGTGTTAGTACATTTTTCATAACATCTAACCTGATTTATCTCTAATTCTCATTTGGATTGAATGTCTAACATATTATTGAATTGATAAAAGAGAAATTTTCAAATCATTCGAGTTATTCTTCTTTTCAGCAAATTAGAATACTAATTCTTTGTAATAGACTAGAAAATAAAACAAAAAAAATACTCCTATAAAATCATAGGTTCTTTTGCATCAATTAACTGACAATTCTTATGTATGGTTGAAAACCAGCATATGGGAAAAATGCAGCAATCATCACTACTGACAAGGAGATGACAACAGAAGTACAGAGCTCAACCTCCCTGGGCCCTGGGAAGAGATCCCTTTGGAGAAGCAGGGTCATCTTCTTTTCTCCATTTTCTGAATTTTCATTTGGATTTTTCTTTTGAGTCTGATTTATTATTAACAAATCAATCAACCAAGTATTAATAAGGTGCTTATTAATAAACTTCAGAAGCTCTAACGGATCCAAATAAGTAAAAATATGACTATTTACTAATATCATGTTATAATTAAGTGAAAAAATGATATGGATTGCTGTAAATATACACATACTCAATTTTCATAAACAAGGCAGTGTATGACACGTGCTGAAATAATACAGATGCTTTACTTTCTAGCTGCTCTAAAATTGAAGCCATCACTCCTACTAGGTAGTAAAAAAGGTCTTCATTAAAATCATGTGGGAGAGACAGACAGAGAGAATTGTAATTTTATCTTCATTATGCTTACCTCACATACTGTGATTATTTTCCAGTCTTTAGGAATCTAAAACCATTTCAAGAGTCTCTGGGTGCAGGAACTTCGTTTCTACTGCTCCTCATCTTACTTCACAGGTTGCTCCCTGTTCTCTGCAGTGACCAGGATGCAAAGCTCAACCATTTCACACGTTGACACAAAACATGATAATTTAGTAGACTTTACTAAATATTCAACTTATGGTGGGTTGTTAGGGAACAAACATGGTACAACCGGGAAATTCCCACTCACTAAGTCCTCAGCCTCTCTCACCATTGCACTGCCTCCTTCTGTTCTCCTCCCTCTCAGCCTCTCCTTAACACTAACTGTCCAGTTTGCATCACACTCTCAGGCAGAACTCTTCTCATATTTTGATTAGAGTCTTTTCATTTACTGTAGTTGATCATAGAAAAAAAATTAAATTATAATCATCTTTGCATATCCTAATCGCAAACAGAAGAGTCTTCGATTTAATATGAGGGATATTTTTGTCTATTATATTAGAATCTCATCATTTGGAATAATGAATGAAATAAGTTCCAGAAAGGTATAAGAGAATTAGCAAAGACATTGAGGTGTGATGATCCATTTGAACAGAAGTAAAGTTATGATGCCAATACAAAGGTTGTGAGACATTTACAAGAGATGGTAAATGCCAGTTTAATTAAAATAAGGTTTATATCTTAGATAGCAGGGATTTATTAGACTTTTTCAGTAGAATATAAAAACAATTTGATAAATGGTAAATAATCTAGATCCACAGACTCCTGTTAAAAGGTCATTGTAATTAATATGACCTAAGTGATAATATCAGAAGACAATGTGGTACCATCAAGAGTCAAGAGATCAGAGAAACACCCTGAAGACATTGTCAAAATTTTCTATTATATTGAAGGCAGTAAAATGCTAGGTGCTCCTGGATTTATAACTTAAGTGAACAAACACATTCCTCTAACATGGGAGCTAATAATTTTAAACAGAAACCATTGCATACATATTTCTGAATAAAGCAATGTAAAGACAGGCAGTGTATCTAACTCCAAAAATTCTTTGAGAGGATCTCGTAGTATTGCCGTGTAATTAAGTATATCAATGATGAAAGTCTAACTTAACCTTGAAAATATAGAGTCCAGTTTCATGAAGTGAACAAATTCATGTTTGTAAATCATTAGCTTATAACATTGAATGACTCATAATTTTCTAGCATCAGAATAATAAAATCCAGAATCAAGAGGCAACAGAAGTCGTTCATTCTGTAATCCCAGCACTTTGGGAGGCCGAGGCGGGTGGATCACGAGGTCAGGAGATCGAGACCATCCTGGTTAACACGGTGAAACCCCGTCTCTACTAAAAATAAAAAACAAATTAGCCGGGCGAGGTGGCGGGCGCCTGTAGTCCCAGCTACTCGGGAGGCTGAGGCAGGAGAACGGCGTGAACCCCGGGGGGCGGAGCCTGCAGTGAGCCGATATCGTGCCACTGCACTCCAGCCTGGGCGACAGCGAGACTCCATTTCAAAAAAAAAAAAAAAAAAAAAAAAGAAGTCATTCATTCAACTGTAGTACTGAGCAACTACTCTGTGCTTCGGTACATCAGATTGACAACCCATGCGTGCTGAAGGGCTCATATTCTAATGGGAAAGGTGAGTAATTAGGAAACAAAAGAATGTTGATGCTTGTCTTGATAAGATGACTGCATTGAGCTGGGAGAAAATTACGAGGGGGAAGTGAGGAAACAGGTACATCAGGATGCTCCAAGAGGTGAATTGTTCTATACCTTATTGTTCTCTGAAAATCTGATTTAAGAAAGTATCTGTATGTTGTTCACATCACTGTATCTAATTACAACTTCTCTTCATGTATGTAAGATGCAAAGAGAGAATATGGGAGATTATTTCAACCTCAGTAAAAGTCTGAACCCAGAAAATAAAACAGAACTTCTAGCATTGGTATGTGAACCATATTGCTAAGCAGGAGTAAAGAAACTTTCTTATAATTACTGCATGAAGATATTCCTTTTTAAACCTATGACGCAAGGTTGCTGCAAACAAACTCTACCTGTTACTGAGGCAGCTTTTGTACCCGCTGAAATATCTTCAATTTAATCAGGAGTGTCAAAATCTTCCCTCGTTTTCTTACTGAATTTCTTCATTTTGAATTAATTTTATTCATTCAGAAAATATTTACAAAGTTTACGTCAAGGCAACATGCTGGAAGATTAGGACCTTGTTCATAGCTTTGGAGAACTTAACCAGTTAGTGAATTAGTGAATCCCCCACTCCCCAATCCCACCCCGCTTTTTATTTGCAAAACTTCTTGGTTCTCATGTATAGTCTTCACTCTATCCTTGCTCCTCTTAATTCTTAGGCTCTTGCTTTCTCCTCCTTCTCTTTCTTCCTTTATTCACTGAAAACCATCTAACTTTTTCATCTAGGTACTGTCTGTCAGTGAATAGTCTGCCCTGCAGTTCCACAAGCAGCACTAATGGAAACATATGCGTTTAGTAAGAGGACCTGGGGTGGGAGGAGGGTAAGGGAGGAGATTGTGAGGGAGCTTTGTAGGAAGCACTAAATCTGCCTTCTTTTATCATAGGTTAAGTAAATGTGAAAGGAGCCCTAGAAAGCTTAAGTGCTTTTTGATGGTGCTTTCTTCAGAAGATGGAGAGAGGAAAAAGAATGAGTGATGTAGCATCTTATGCAAGATGCACTTAAGGTCAGATCTCTATATTATTACTCAGCAAGTCTTCCCAATCTTGAAGACATTATCTGGTGGATTTACAGTCCACAGAAATTGTAACTTAGGCATTCTTTCACAAAATGCCTGGGAAGAGAAATATGTATTAAGAAAAAAATAAGAGTCAATCCTATGTCTTTTTAAAGATGTAGAAAGAAGAAACAGTGAAAATAGTTGAAGAAAAAAGCTCTATTTCAGGGATAATAAATAAAACATCATTATAACCTATTTCGCAGAACAATCAGATTATTTTGTGGCAAAGGTATTTTGTCAGATTACATACAAAACAAAAAGTGTATTCCCAATCTAAAGGAGATGCAGTGAAGATTTGTAGGCATTTACTAAGTGGAAAAAAAAACCCCACAAAAACAAAAACAAATGATTTAAGAATCAGTAATGGTTATTTTTTCTTTTCAAAAATTTCTGGATAAATTTTTATTTTGATAAATATCTCATTTTCCTGGAGGAAGAGATTGCCATAATAGGAGTGTGTGTGTGTGTGTGTGTGTGTGTGTATACATAAATACACACACATATACATGTATACATAATAGGATTGTGTATACTTATATGTAAAAGGTACCGATGGCTCTATCTCTGCAACTGAATAGTGTATTCATGAAAGATGCCAACTAGCGCAGGGGAAAAGAAAGTATCTTTTTTCACCCATCCCTAGGTTCATGGCTGAGGGCTTTCAAAAGACAAATTAACAAGAGAAAAGCATATAGATTTATATAATTAAGGTTTATGTGACATAACTGCCTTCATAAGAAATGAAGACCCCAAAGAAATGATAAACTTGTGTATTTTTATGCTTAGGTTTGAAGTAGGTGTGGCTAGTTTCAAGAACTATGGTTGGACAAAGGGAGTCTAATCTAATGGCAATAAACTGTGGGGGACTTAGCAAGCCCTGTTTGTTCAGGTACTTCTCTGTGTCTCTGTATCTTTAGTGAGAAGGATAATCCTTTCCTCTGGGTATAAGGAGGACACATCTTGAAAGAGAGTCTCATCACTCCTTGCAGGGGACAGGAGAGGAAGAAGGTCAGAGAGTGACCATTCAAATTTTTATGACCTGCTTCAAGGGAGAAGGACAAGGGGAAAGTAAGGGTGGCCTTCCTTCTGCTATTTTCCCAAATGCAAAGATGCTGTACCTTAGGGTAGCATGTACTGAACCCATCACTGGTGAATAGTATCCTTTGCCATACAACTAGAACAGAAGTTGACAGTCATTTCTGCTCTACCCATTGTTCCCGTGACAACTCTGACTGAGGTCTCTCCTTTCTCAAAGCAGTGCTCAGCCCAGCCTCTCAGCACTCAATCTTCTTTATTATACATTGTATTTCCTACTTTTTCATGAAGTCTAGGTGGCAACCTGAGACTCACATTAAAGTTACTGTCCTCTAAACACCTGTGTCTCTTACCGACTGTCCATCATCCAATTTGATCTATTTATTTTGTGACATTTTGTAATTTCCACTGTGCATTTCGAGTGTTGGTCAAATGGAAATAGAAACTTTCACAACATCAAACTGTGAAGAATATATTTATGCTGTTGTGCTTTCTGTTATCATAGTCCTTGCTTGGTAGTGTATTGTGGCTACGACACACTGTGCTAATCTAATCATTGTTTAAAACATGTTGCTTTTAAAAGGTTTACTACAGGGTAACTGAGCAGGGTGTCCATCCTTTGGACTTAATGAAAACTATAGAAATGTAGTGTCTTTTTTCCAAAGGAGGTATTCTTAATTATCGTTCCAGTTGTTCATTTTAGTATTTAATTTAAGGACCTGAAATTGTTGGGTAGCAATGAAAAATGAATCTTAAGTTTCTTGCTGTTTGCACAATTTTGCAGTGGTGAATAAAAAATATCAAGGAATATGTGGGAGAATCTATGACTGTATCTCTTCTAGCCATATCTTCATAAGGAAATCATTTTAAGAATGCCGACCACAGATTTTTAGCCTCATTTCAACTTCAAAATCACAAGCTGTACTGACAGATGAGTCATGAATCTCTTCTCTTCTGGTCTAAGTGAAGAAAAAATAAAACATCAGGAAATACAATGGTTTTATAACAGTGATTGTTTTATTTAGGTCTTGAACATGGGAAGGTATTTCATTCCACTATGCTACAACATAACAAAACATTCTACTTACATCTCAAAATTCCTGCCATGTCATTACAATTTATCACACATAACTTTTGGTATGTTTGTTTGGGGCATCTGATTTCTGTAACTCAGTGAAGCCTAATCTTTCCTTGTTTAATGCCAAGGGCAGATCCTGGGCAACAGAGTCATGTTTCAGAAATGTCAGGCATACTGAGGAAGTACAAACCACCAGTGGCAACTGCTCCTTATACTGTCCTCTGAAAAGCAAGCACTCAGGCGTCTCTAGGCCCAGCATCCTTGGCGGCTTTGTTCTTGTTGGAAGCAATTGCATACAATGACTTTAGTACAGAAGGGCATCTGATAAGTATAGAGTATTTTTGAAATGTGTTTTTTGCCTTGAAACACATCTGTTAGGTAGAAAGGGTGAGATTTTTTAAAAAATTTCCATTTGACAGACATGGAAGCAAATGCACAAAAATTATTCAGGGTGTACCTAAATAGGTCATTTATTTGTGACTTACCAGACCACAAACCTAACTCTAATATATCAATTATAATATTCACCAACTACTTAAGAACAGATTTTCAGAACACTTGGAATGGGAGAATAAAATTTACATTAGTTGTATGCATCTATTTTAACTGGTTTCCAATTTTAACATGTTAAAAGAAGCAATAGAGAGACAGAGAGCTGCCCTGTGGTAGCTGGTGCCAGGACCACAACCAAATCTCAAGGATTCTCAAGTGTTCAGTTTCCTTTGTTTCTTGAAAATGACCAGGAATATAGCCAATATTATAAGTAAACAGCAAAAGAATAAAAATATGTGTTTTTTTGATTCTAAAAATATAATGAAAGATGAGAAAACTTAAAAATATTTCAAGGTAAATTTTAACCACAATCTTTTATATGGAATATCATTCCTTGTTATCAAGCACAATGTCTCAACTTAAAAAAATTTAATATATCCAATTCAGATACTACTTACTTATTTATGGTCTTAAAGACCCAAATGTACTCTAGCTTATTATTGTAGTAGACATCCAAAAGAAAAAATGCAAGGTGGTTAAAAATTCCTTTCTGTAAAATGGTTTTTAAAATTTTTACTGAATAAAACAATCTTCTGGATGTCTACTACAATAATAAGCTAGAATGCCTAAATACAAAAAATATTGATAATAAAAGTTTTCAAAGGCATGTACATTTGGGTCTTTAAGACCATAAATAAGTAAGTAGTATCTGAATTGGATATATTAAATTTTTTTAAGTTGAGACATTGTGCTTGATAACAAGGAATGATATTCCATATAAAAGATTGTTTTTATATAAAGAAAGTTATGCAAAGCACATTTTCTTACAGAGTTTATGGTTTCGTTAATGCAAGTGATTCACATTTATTGTCTACTATGAGCTAAGTTTTCTTCACATGCAGCCTTTCATTTAATTCTCACAACAGTTTCCCAGAGTTGAGATATACAGAGGTAAAGCTATTTGTCCAAGGAAAAAATATAAAAAAGTAGTAATTGGCCAAACCAGGATTTTATTTCAGATATGTAAGCCTTCAGAAGTCAAATTTTTTTCTTCATTTTATTCAGTAAAAATTTTAAAAGCCATTTTACAGAAAGGAATTTTTAAGCAGATGGTGACATTGAAGAATAACAACCTTAGAATTTTTAACAGCTCATTTGTAATGTAATTTTGTATTTCAAATATTCAATAGTCAATAGAAAAAGTGAAAAATACAAGACTGAAAGCTGAATTAATGATTTGGGAAATCAAATGGCAAAGTTTCCCAGAACAAAACAGTACACTATGAAGATTCAAGAATGACAGGAACAAGGGAAATTTAGAAGAAATCCAGGGAAACTACTGAACAATAGGCATTCTGGAAGGCAATGAAAAAGACATTATAGGAAACACACAAACCATGAATAGAGCAATCACATTGGTTGCAAAAGAGTTGAGGTTTTAAGTCATGCCAACCTAGTGCCAAGTATGATTAATGAAAAGAAGGTACACACCAAGACCTAGCCTGGTGCAATTTCATCCACTCTAAGGATGAACTGAAAAAGCATATAAACTTCATGAGAGCAAAGTAGAGTCAATTTTGATCACACATCACATCTGCACCAATGAAGTCTAGAAGACAGTACAATTCTCTGAACCAAGAATTCTTCAATTTGTCAAGATATTAAAAAAAAGAAGAAGAAAAAAGTTAAGCAAGAAAGCAAGCTAGCTATGCGTACACTTATACACATACATACACACACACACACACACACAGACTATACATACTCTGGGACAATGTGTATATAATCCCTTATATATCTCTATGAAAGGGATATAGACATTCTTAAAAAATTACTCAAGAAAACACTAGGGTTGAATGAAAATCATGTCATTTTTAATTCATATAAAAAAATCTCAAAATAGAGGACAGTTTACTAAGAAAGCACAGTTAAAAATGAATCTAGTAGGCCACACATGGTGGCTCAGGCCTATAATCCCAACACTTTGGGAGGCCGAGGTGTGAGGATCACTTGAGACCAGCCTGGGCAACATAAAGAGACCCCATTTCAATAAAAAATAAGAAAGAAAACTAGCCAGATGTGGTAGTGCACACCTGTAGTCCTAACTACTTGGAAGGTGACGTGGGAGGATCGCTTGAGCATGGGAGGTTGAGGCTGCAGTAAGCTATGATCATGATCACACCACTGCACTCCAGCCTGGGTGACTGGGCAAGACCCTGTCTCAAAAAAAAAAAAAAAATCTAATAGAATTCACAGTTAATCCAAACTGATGATGACAGTATGGTTGTGAACACAATTCTTGATATGAGAAGCATTTGGTAAAAACAAAAACAAACAAAAAAGATTACAGTTTTACAGTTCACTTAATAAAACATAAGAGTTCATGAAGATTGGAAAAATAAAGAAGAAAATAAGTATGTCCTGAAGATTTTGTGTTAGAGGAAAGACTTATTAATTGCTTTCAATGGACAGTATTAATAAATAGACATATGCTTAACTGTTGTCATTAAAATCATGAAGAAAAGCAGAGGAAATTGTATATGTATATGCATAAAGACTTGAAATTATTGACTTGAGGAAAAACAGACAAATTACTTTATCAAGTAATACAAAAAGGAAAAAGAAAGAATATTGAATGAGAAAAGTCAAATAGGACAGGATGAATAAACTCAAATGTATTTATTATAAGAATAACTGTAAATAAGTTACAATTCTTTATTGAAAAATGGAGACTTCAGTTGGGTTAAAAATTTCCAGCTCTATCCTGATTGCCAGAAAAAAGGCAGATCTTTGAAAGTAACAAAGGACGTTATAGGCAAAGATATCTCCAGGGTGTCAATTAAAATGGAATACTTTTATCTTATGATGAAGGAACATTTGTATTTATTGAGTGTTATGTTGCAAGAAGTCGGTTTGGGGAAAAAGATTTTATTATCCTTGTTTTACAAATTAAAAAATAAGGTACACAAAGCATAGACGATTTACCTGTTGACTGGTACTCATATAAATATAATTTTCTTTTCTTTTCTTTTCTTTTCTCTGTGAGACAGGGTTTTACTCTGTCACCCTGGCTGGAGCGCAGTGACACAATTACAGCTCACTGCTGCCCCAAACTCCTGGGCTCAAGCAATCCTCCCACCTCAGCCTCCAGAGTAGCTGGGACTACAGGCACACACCACCATGCCTGGCTAATTTTAGTTTTTATTTTTTCATGAGATGGGACCTTGTTATGTTGCTCAGGCTGGTCTTGAACTCCTGAACTCAAGCAATCAACCCGTCTTGATATCCCAAAGTACTAGGATTACAGGCGTGAGCCACTGCACCTGATCTTGAATAGAATTTCTTTATGAAATTTGACTCACAATTCTTTATGTTATTTATTACACCAAACTTTATTATTTAAAATACATGGTTAAGCACTTGCACATATTTATAACAGCTAAGCTATTATGCATAGAATTCACTACCTATTCCTAACCTTTAAATAATCAATATCAATATTTTTATTCACAATAAAAATACTGTAATCAGATAGGTATCATAATGACACAGTGGCTCAATAGAAGAGAGAACCAAAATTTATCCAAGTGTAAATGGGAATTTTATATGTGATATAGATTAAATTATCTGCTGGCTAAAAAAGGCAATACTGATTAATAATAGTGTTGGGCAATTGATGATCCATTTGAAAAATATAAAATTAGATCCAAAGGTATACATAAGTGTATTTGCATTGAATTAGAGCTCACAATGTAAAAATTGTTAAGTAAATAAATAAACAGGGTTTGATACAAATATCAGGGTATTTTCATAATTTGGGAGTGGATAAGATCTTTTTACTCCTAGAGTCCATAAAGAAAAAAAAACTGAACTACTTTGTTGCACAAAAATTTTGAAGCCTCTAAAAAGACAAAAAAGGAAGATAACATATTGGGAAGAAGATATGATCTTATTACTCTTAAACAAAATGATCCTAAAATGTGGAAGAAAAATGTAAACAAACATCTTAATGAACAAAGGATGTGCTCAAGAAATTTAAAGAAAAAGAGCTATAGAAGTCTGATAAACTCATGAGTAGATGTTCACTCTCATTAGCAGGGTGCTTCAGGGGCCAAGCTGCCAGTGCAACCACATAGATTCTTGCACTGAGCAGGCTTCTTTGCATGGGGTTTGTTGCTCTGAAGCCATCATCTTGGAATTTTTTTAAATTTTTATTTTATTTTTTATTTTATTTTATTTTATTTTATTTTATTTTATTTTATTTTATTTTATTTTATTTTATTTTATTTTATATTTTATTTTATTTTTGAGACGGAGTCTCGCTCTGTCGCCTAGGCTGGAGTGAAGTGGCACGATCTGGGCTCACTGCAAGCTCCGCCTCCCGGGTTCATGCCATTCTCCTGCCTCAGCCTCCCGGCTAATTTTTCGTATTTTTAGTAGAGACGGGGTTTCACCATGTTAGCTAGGATGGTCTCCATATCCTGACCTCGTGATCCGCCCACTTCAGCCTCCCAAAGTGCTGGGATTACAGGCGTGAGCCATCCCACCCTGCCCATCTTGGAATTCTTATAATTTTACTTTTGAATTTGGGTTTTGTCAGTGAATTCTACTGGGACAATGGAGCAAACGCCGGGAACTTGGAGTTTCAGGCCAGATGAGACCCACCTCGGGCCTTCTTCCTGCCTCCTTGCTACCTCCCTGGGTTTTTCTCCTCACCACCCCGCCACCTACCGGGTGGGAGGCAGAGATCAGCTTGTGTTGGCAGGGAAAGCCCCCATTTTGCGGTTGCCCTCCCTGCCAGCAGGGGGCATACTCATGGGTACTGAAAGGGGCGAAGTGCGACACATTCCCCAGGTGGTCTCTGGGCGGGACAAAGCAGTGGCTATCCTGCTGCTGGCTGCATCACTGCTTGTTCAGCGGGCTACTCCGCGGGGCTCGCGTCCAGTTACTATGTGCCCAGATGTAAAGGCAGCAGTCGCTTGAAAGTCACCCATCTGCAGTGGCAGTGTGTCTTTCCTGATTCCAGGTGGGTCCCTGCATTTTCATTTTGTGCTGGGCTCCACCAATCACGTAGCCAGTCTTGCTCACTAGTAGTTAAGGTAAGGACTTTAACAACTACAACACACTGTGTTATGCTTATCAGACTGACCAAAAACAAAAGAAAACAGAAAAGGCAACACTCAGTGGTGTTGTGAGGGCGTGGAGAAATGGGTTTCTCTCACATGCTGCTGGTGAGACTGGAACAAGCTTTTTTTTTTTTCAAATTTTTAAAAGCTCTTCTGCTGCCTCAGCAATTCCACTCCGGGAAATGTTTCAGACATTAAAAGTAGTATTAATTCAGGCCGGGCGCTGTGGCTCACGTCTGTAATCCTAGCACTTTGGGAGGCCACGGCGGGCGGATTGCCTAAGCTCAGGAGTTCGTAGCCAAGCCTGGGCAAAACGGTGAAACCCTGTCTTTAGTGAAATACAAAAAATTAGCCGGGCGTGGTGGCGGGCGCCTGTGGTCCCGGCTACTCTGGAAGCTGAGGCAGGAAAATGGCGTCAACCCGGGAGGCAGAAGCTGCAGTGAGCCGAGATCGCGCCACCGCACTCCAGCCTGGTGATAAAGCGAGAGGCCGTCTCAAAAAAAAAAAAAAAAAGCAACATTGATTCTAAATAAATTTCGAAGATGTTTATTGCATCATCGTTCATGGAAGTAAAAATCGGGTAAAACCTGCATTTCCACCTAAAGAGGAATGGTTAAGTTGGTTCATTTAAACTGTGGAATGCTGGGAAGCTAGTTAAATGAAATGGAAAATGTATGGCTCCAATAGTCAGGTGAAAAAACGCACAGAATATTATGTTTACTATAACTGCAGGTTGTGAAAAAAATAATTAAAAAGCTATATATGTTTTATATATGACTGTATTAGAAGAGCAAAATACACGGAATAATAATAATGTGTACTACACTGACAGTGGTGGTAAAGTCTGTGGGGCAAGGAGTAAGGCCGAGGAAGGCAGAGGCTCATGATTTTAAAATTTCATGTTATATATTTTGGCATTTAAGTGGTGTGAACATGTTTTACATTTACCTTAGCAAAGCATATGAATGGAATTATATATAGTTGACTCTCTGTATCCATGGATTCAGCATCTGTGGATTCAATCAAATGCGAATTGAAAATATTAGGGAAAAAATTTCCACAAAGTTCCCAAAAGCAAAACTTGAATTTGTCACCCTCTGAGTACCAGGTTGAATCCATGGGAATGAAGTGCTATGTAGGCATTGTTTAAAGTATAGGGGAGGATGTGTGTAGGTTTTGTGCAAATTTTATGTAAGCGACTTGAGCATCCTCGGATTTGGGTATCCTCCGGGATCCTGAAACCAATCCCCCAGGGATACTGAGGAATGACTATACATGTATATGTGAATAAATGAATACATATATATATATATATATATATATATATATATATATATATGTATATGATATGTTTTCACACGTGTACAAAAGAGGCACAAAACCCAAAGAATTGTATAACTTCTAATTGCATAGGAATTTAGTTGCACCAAAATTTATATGATTTTTGAGAGTAGACCAATGACAACAGTGAGCAAGCTTTTTTTTTTTTTTTTTTTTTGAGACGGAATCTCGCTCTGTAACCCAGGCGGAAGTGCAGTGGTGCGATCTTGGCCCACTGCAACCTCCGCCCCTCCAGGTTTAAGCAATTCTCTGCCTCGGCCTCTGGAGTAGCTGGGATTACAGGCGCGTGCCACCACGCCTGGTTAATTTTTGGTATTTTTAGTAGAGACGGGGTTTCACCATCTTGGCCAGGCTGGTCTTGAACTCCCGACCTCGTGAGCCACCCGCCTCGGCCTCCAAAGTGCTGGGATTACAGGCGTGAGCCACCGCGTCCGGCCAACAGTGAGCAACTATTAATAGTCTGTGCTTTAATGAATTCTGTGATCTGATTTTAAATATTCATCATGGCATCACTTTGAAGAAAACAAAGACAGGCAAACATTTTCCTTGCATAATTCTCCTAGGATTTAGTGTTGATTTTTTTTTAACTTTCTGGGGGAAAAAAGCCCAGATTTTGTGGAACGTGTTGATTTTATATAAATCTGTCTGTGGTATTCTAATACACTCACCTAAGTCTTTAGTCTAACTTGTGCTCTACTTCTTCAGTTTGATTCTAAATTGATAAGCCCAGGAATGGCGTCTCTTTCATTATTATATTCGTAGGCTGTTTCAGGCTTACTTTCTTTAAACAAAATCCCTATTTTCCTAGGTTTAGATTTGATCCTCGATGTCTTAGATACTGTCCACTGATGCCAATACCCCTTTTTTAAATTTTTATTCCAAGGGACTATTCAGAACCTTGCCAGATAGTAGCTAATTTAGCCATGCTGCAAGGAATAGAACCAACAATATTCTTTATCCAAGAATCAGAAAAAAATATATCCTTATAAATTTACCTCTATGAGTTGAAGGACATAATTCCTTTTATATTGATTTAACAGTATTCTTTTCTGTACTTTAAAAATATTTTGCTAAGGGTGGAGATAACGTCACCAATTACACTACCCATTGTTATCAGAGAAAGCACCTCTGGCACTGAAAAATTTTATCTAAATAACCAATATTGCTGTTAAAATTATATATGACTTGAGGACATGCAAGATGGATATGCTGCCTCTCTCCCATTCTGCTCTGAGCTTAGCATCATGCTTGTCACATAACAGGCTTTAACTATGTGCCTAAATTTTGGTTATCATGTAAATTTTGACATCATTTTTAATAAAAGCATGCACAAAAGGCAGAGTATTGCTTTATCATCATCCAACTCACTTTATACCAAATCACACACCACCTAAGGTCGTGAGTTGAAAAATAATGTGAAATTATGGGAATGAGAATAACATGGACATCCTTGCATGCTGATGCTGTTTATAGAAGAAATTTGGAGTATGTTTATTGCCATAAAGGTTCAGTAGAACTTTCGCTCTCCGTGTCATGGCATCCATGTAAATGTTAGTAACCCAAAATTTCTTCTACCTTATTTCAGGTGCAATATTTAGGAGTGCTCTCAAAAAAAACCCCAAAGCTTTCTATATGCACATAATTAATATTTCTATGAAGACATTACTTCTCTTTGACTATCTAACCTTATTTGATGGAGGAGAAGTAAGGGGGTTTATGACGTTCCTGTTGATTTTTATTTGTTTTTGTTGAGGTTGAGCCAGTGCCCTCTGACATGAGATTTTTGTAGACAAAAATGTTTTTTGATGTTTCTTCTTTCCATTAGATGTGTAAATTATTGTTCTACAGTCTGTTCTATTAAGCTTCGTGACTCACTACACTTATTCACTTGCCCTCAATCCTTCTCTCTCTTTTCTTCGTTAGATATTAACTAGAACCTGCTTTCTAACTCTGGGCAATTAAAGGGACATAGTTAATCTTGGTAGCTAAATGTAAGGTGACAAAATATGCAGTAATATCCCTTTAGCACTCCATTTATTCCAACGTGATTTCTGAAGAAAAAATTCCATAGTTCATTTACTATATAACTAGAAGTGAGATTGGGAGCAAGAACAGCTCTCCACAAAAAGAATCTATAGTTGTTATCAAATTATTTTTAAGATAAAGAAAGATATTTAGAATACTTTATTGTCTGAAGATCTATAAGAAATAAATGCTGTCCCTCAGCTATTGTCAACTCTATAGTGGTAAATATATTTAAAATTTAAGAATGAAAAGCATTAAGTCCAGCATTCTTACTTTCTATCTCTCTTACTCCCTCCTCATTTTTCTCCTCCCTTCTTCTCCGCTTTCCTTGTTAATTTTTATCTCCTGTTACTTTGTAGTCTCAGAAAATACAATTTTGCTTGACTTTATCCACAGTGTGGTTATCGGATGAAAAACTCTTTTGGTAAATTTGGTAAAGGGTTAACAGATACACTTATTTATACTAAGCCACTCTTTACTATCCTGGTATTTAGGACTCAATTATTTTCTTAAGGTTCTAAACATTGCAACAGTTTTCATTTTATGTACAACATTTTTAGGGTCAAAATAATTTTAGCTGTAATCATATTTTTGACATGAAAAAATATTCAGGACTTTAGTCAAATTTGAATTATTTAGGAGTTTATATAGATACCTCCAGTGGTTCTCCATTCAAATAGATTTTATGTATTATTTGCATTAAATTAATTTTGTTACAAAAAGAAGAGCAAATGAGGAAGAAGTAGATTTTTGTATTTTATATGCATATGCCTAAATTATTTAAACACTTAGACTTATTATAAATAAATACGTTATTTGTGATTTTTAACATTTGTAATTTCAGTTGGAATTATTAAGGCCCTGAAAGAGTTAACATATATGGGAATGTCTATAAAAGTTCTCAAAATAATTTCTCCAATATAATTCTATGAAGACTACTGCTAAGGTTTTAATTTAAATTTTCTTACATTATCAGATGCACCAAATACAAAAAAGGTTATGATAACGAGTCTTCAAATTGTATTTAAGGAACCTTCTAAGTCTTTGCAGAAATATACAATTATGTGAAAGCTCTGTGACCAGAACTTTGCCATTTAACGTTTTTACTCTGAGGTTAAATTATAATGTTTCTGCCTAGACTTTCTATGATGCTTAGGGATTTTTTTTTGTAAAGTAGCATTATATTAAAATAATATTCATGTAGGTAATGGAAATAAAATAACAAAATTAAAAATGGAAGAACTGTAAGGAATTATCCCAGACATCATCTGGAATGAGTCCTCAGGGCTCTCTCTGATCTATAGAATGTTATTGCACCCTTACCATATATATATATATGACTACATAACTATATATATATATGACTACATAACTATATATATATAGAGAGAGAGTCATATATTATGTGCATCTACTACTGTCAGCCCTGTTTTAGTTTAAATAAAACAATTATAAAAGAAAAGCTTATTCTCTTCCTGTACTCAGTTGGAGTATTTTGTGGATTCTCTGCCTGTTGCTTTTATTTGTTTTAAACTGGGGATATACAAAATCCTAAATACCAAATTTGAGAGATAATTAGAATGAGTTATTTTGTTAGTTAATTACTTGCACAATCTAGTTGGAAAAACAAGTTGACTCTATGTCCAAAAACTTCTTTAACATGTGATTACCTTCCTAATAATTTAAGTAATTTCATGTATCTCTGATTGTCAGCCAAATAAACATATCACTCCCACTTACTGAATATCCATTAAGCACACGAAAAAATGTGAACCAATTCTCTTATATGTAGAAAATAGCTTGAGGTTATAAAGCCTTAAGAGTTTCTCTGTGTCCTTGATAGTTGGCTCGGAAAATCAGATGATTCAATATAACTGAATATGCTGTGCCACTGTGTTTTAAACTAATAGGAATAGAAAGGAGAAGAGGTAATGGAAAGAAACGATTCAAAAACACCTCTAGAGAGGAAAGGTCTGTGTCAAGGAGCCTTGGCAGTGAACCAACAAGAAATCTGCAAGGGCTTGTTGAGTCAAGGCTTTCCTGAGTCTGTAGTTCATGTTAATTCCTGTATTCATTCATTCAACAACTACTTATCGAATGCTTACTTTGTGATAGGCACCATGCCCTCATGCCCTCTGCTTCCCTCGCACAACCTTCTTCTGAGCCCCAGAAGTTCATTCATTGTCTTATGTAATTTTCACTTAGACAAATTCATTCTGACAATTTCACTGCATTCATTTCACCAAGGTTCAACACGTCTGGATTTTATTTTTATTAGTTGTAGGAAATATATTACAGCAAATAAAATAAAAAAAATGACTATGCATTTGAGATCCCTCTGGGACAAAGCAGCATCATCACTAAGAAAATCACAGTTAAGGAGAAAACAGTCTCTAAAATACAAAAGAATATTCTTTTGAGATATAAAGAATTTACTCAGAATTTAAACCAATCTTTGAAGATTTTTGGTCAGTTGTTGATGTATATGCTTATATGGTAACATTATTTAAATTGGCAAATTGCTGTTAGTCTTCTAGTTATTACAAGTACTCTTTGTGTTTGAGTTTGTATTGGATTCCAATATGAATTATAATTCTGGTAATTTCACATTTAAAAGTGATTACCATACAACATGAGCCAAAATTTCCCACAAAGAAATCATGCAGTATTTTCACCATGCTTTTATTATGCTTTGTGTTCTGTTGTGCCTCTGTCACATATGTTAAATATGTCATATAAATGTTTTGTGTATATGAAGGAAGTCTTAACCCAAGAAATAATTAGTTTAAATATAATGATTAACAACTGGGAACAATAGTTGTCTCTAAATATTCTTGAGATTCATTGGTAGCATGTTTTTTACGTGCAACTGGTAACAGTTATTCTCTAGCACCACATTATTTTCCTAAGCTGGAAAAAAACCCAAAAAGATAGAATACTATCAAACCATTGCACCATAAAATATGTAAGCTACTTGTATCTCTTCCAAAACCTTATTATGCTATAACTAAATGCATTTAAAAGCTGTAATTGGTAAACTTGAATTATAACAGAAAACATATTGAACCGGAAATATAATAACAGAACACTGGCATTACTGAATATTTACATTGTGCCAGGGACTAAGCTTTATGTTTTAGACAAACTACTTAGTTTAATCTTTACAAAATTACTCTGAAATTATTTTATTAATCATATTTTACATATGAGAAACTGAGATTTTTTGAGATTCAGTGATGTCACTGATCTAGTAAATTATAGATCCAGGAAAATATCTAGGAGTGTCTGACTCTGGAATCTTCTTTTTTTACTTAATCATTGTTGCCACTCTATTACTTTTATTTAACAAACCCAATTCTGAAAGGGATAGCAAGTGTCACTTAGATGCAGTGAGACCCTCATATCTTTAATAATTGTCAATTATTGTAAAATTATATTATAGGGTTTTTAGTTAGAAGATTCTGTTAAAGGCTTATAAGACCAGTTATCTCAACTGAAAAGATCTAGCTGCATTTATTTTGTGCACCATGGAAAGCTGTGCCTATCAGTTGCAGAGGTGACTGTTGATCATATATGTTTTTTGGGAAGAATGGTCTTCAGGGATTGGTGGATTTTCAGGGGAATAAGTGGGTTGAAAACTGGATGAGACTTGTTGATTGGTTAGCATCTAAGGTGGATGAACCTTGAGACATTATGCTAAGTGAGATAAGCCTGACACAAAAAGAAAACTACTGTATAATCTCACTAATATGTGGAATCTAAAAAAGTGTAGCTCATAGAAGTAGAGATTAGAATGGTAGTTACTCTGGGATGCGGCAGGGGAGGGTTGGGAAGATGTTGGTCAAAGGGTATAAAGTTTTAGTTAGATAGGAAGATAAGTTCTAGAGATCTATTGTACAACATGGTGACTACAGTTGATAATAACGTACTGTGTACTTGAAAATATACACTTGTGAAGCATCTATATGTTAAATGTTCTCACCATTAAAATTACAAGTATGTGGCGTGATGGATATGCTAATTAGCTTTATTTAATCACTCCCCTATATAATATATATAACATCATGTTGTGCCCCATAAATATATGCAATAAAAATAAAGACAGATATATAAAAAAGTAAAATTCTCTCAGATTTACTTGAATATTTAAGTTAAATAAAACATTACAAATCATGTTAGACACAAGTCTAAAAACAATCCTTTGTTTTACCACAATGGCTTAATACTGTATTTTGCCATCATGTAAACAAGATTTTGTTCTCTTGTTTCAGTCTCTTGATTCTACTCTCAAAATTTATTGGTTGTTCTCAGGTAGTATTTGTCTTTTAAAATAGGAAATATATAAATATATAGAAGAATATAACTAAATGAAATTCTCCCCCAAAATTACATTTGAGACTGCACAGACATTATCTTTTGGAAATTTAACATGTATCACATAAAATATTTTCATATGAGAGAGATACTTAGTCTTTCCATGTATTCAGGTAACATTTTGTGACCTTTGTTGAATTTAAATACATTGAAATAGTTCATTTCATGTAGGTCTTCTGCCTCTCTTACCAACTTTATTCTTAAATTTTAAAGTTTACATATTGACTTATAATTGAAAAGACTTTCCCTTTTCCTTTTCTAGGAAGAATGCTAATACTACTGATGAAGAAACATAGCTTGTATGAGATATATTGTTAAACTGTGATACATGGGGGAAAACAACACTGAGATTGTAATAAATAACCTAATTTTATGGAATCGCTAGTTGATTCAAAGAGTATGCTTCTTTTTACAGTCACACTACAGGATCATTTTTAACTTACTCAAGTACATCAACCATTAACCTTAGTTAATTTAGCCACATCCAATAGAGACAGTTGTTACTTTTACATATCATTTTTCTTTGGTCAGATTTTAAAATATAGGTTTATCTAAAGACAGGGAAATAAGGAAAATTGCTTCTCAAGTGTTTTGTACTTTAGAATTTCCGCAATGCTACCATCTACTAATTATACTTTATTCTCAAAATCTTGTGAGATGACCTTAATTAATTAAATGAATGTGGAGTGGTTGCTACTATGTACTAAGCACTGTGCTGTGTCCCAGTGGGTTATAAATGTAAGCCAACCATGGTCCCTGCCTTAGTAAATCTGAGAGTCTATTGCAGAGAATAGTACTTTCTTAAATGCTAGTAAAACCCTCTCTCTATGTATATACTTAAATGCCTTCTGAATTTATAACTTTTTTTGTGTAATCAATTGATGATAATATTAAATGAAAATGAAACTACTACACATTAATCAACATGAGCTAATTAGGTCACTTTGGAAAAAAAAAGCGTGCGGATGAAGCCATGGTGAGGTATTTGATAATCAAGATTAATTTATTTAACACTTTTCTATGATTGTAGACTGAACTCTTAAAGCTAGGCAATTCTTATAAGGAGGATTTTGCCAGAGATGGGCGATGTTTCAACACATATCTCCATTCCTAGAAAATATTTTTCAAGTTAACAAGTAGCATTATTTTTATCTATACAGGGCAAAATATCTTCAACAAATAAATATTAATATTTTCTTTAAAATGTATTGCCGTGAGAAAATCACTTTCTTATGGTTGGGGGACATGCCACCTATGTCTTTGTCTCTGATCTCATCCTGTGTAATACCCATTGCAGGAAAACTCTGAAGGAAACATAGTATCTCCCACCTGTATAGCAATAGCAATCCTCCTTCATAGAATTAGGACTACAGCTTCCAACTCTGCTTTTCCAGTGTTGTGTTTTATTATGTGACTAAAAGTTATGTCAACATGAAAGCAATAATTTAACAAATGTATTTGAATTTAGCAGACAATCAGTATCCTCATTTACAGGATATAAATTCAGATAACAAATCAAATATCTCCAGAATAATAGTCATCCACTATCTTTTTCAGGTATGATGTAACGTAACAGTGTTATATTAAAAAGTTGTATTTTTGAAATTTGACGTTAAAAAATTGGCAAAAAAAGACCACAGGGTAAACATTTTACTGATAAACACCATATAACTTTTAGAAAGCTCAAAGATTGTATTGGTAATTTTGTACCTATTATTATATATAATAAGATGGCTCATTATATAGAAATTTGTTACTCTGTTTAGTTTTCATTTTCTCTCCCCTTCAAATCTCTTGTGACTGCCACCATTATTATTATCATTATTATTTAATTTGCAACAGAGTAGAAAGGGAGACCCTTATTTGCTGGGTGCCAAGCAAGGAATATTGGGGCAGTTCATGCTTAAGATCAAAACTTCCCAGTGGCTTGAAGGTAAGGGTTTTTAAAGGCAGGAGTAAATTTCAGAAATGTGGAAGCTGGATATCTTTTTTTGAAATTTCAACTTGTATTTTAGTTACAGAGCCTAGATGTGCAGGTTTGTTATGTGCAAATATTACATGATGCTAAGGTTTAGGGCATGGAACCCATCCCCCAAGTAGTGAGCATAGTACCCAATAGGTAGTTTTTCCACCCGTGCCCTCCTCTCTCTCCTTCCCCTGTCTGATAGTCTGCAGTGTCTGTTGTTCCCATGTTTATGTCCATGTGTGCTCAGTGTTCTATTTCCACTTATTAGTGAGAATATGCAATATTAGGTTTTCTGTTCCTGTGTTAATTCAGTTGGGGTTATGGCCTACGACTCCATCCATGTTGCTGCAAAGTACGTGACTTCTTTCTTTTATGTCACTCTGTAGGATTCCTTAGTGTATATGTACCATGTTTTTAAAATTTTATCTACTATTGATGGGTACCTTGGTTGATTCTATGTCTTTGTTATTGCGAATAGCAAAGTGATGAATATGTGAGTGCATGTGTCCTTTGGGTATAATGATTTATTTTCCTTTGGTTATATACCCAGTAGTGGGCTTGCTGGGTTGAATGGTAGCTCTGTTTTAAGTTCTTTGAGAAATCTCCAGACCGCTTTCCAGAGTGGCTGGACTCATTTACATTCCCACCATTGATGTATAAGTGTTGCCTTTTCTCTGCAGCCTTGCCAACATCTGTTTTTTTTTTTTTTGACTTTTTAGCAATGGCCATTTTGACTAGTGTGAGATGGTATCTCATTGTGGCTTTGATTTGAATTTCTCTGTTGATTGTTTTCTGTTTATTGGCTGCTTGTATGTCTTCTTTTGAGAAGTGTTGGTTCATGTCCTTTGCCCGTTTTTAATAGGGTTATTCGTTTTGTGCTTGCTGATTTGTATAAGTTCTCTATAGATTCTGGATATTAGGCCTTTGTTGCACTATCTTTTTTTTAAGAGCAATGTATCTGTTTAGTCCTCAGCTATTTTTGCCCGTGACTCTAGCCATCAGGTGAATAGTCAATAACTTGACAGAAATAATAGTTCTTTCTGTCTTACAGCACCCTCCCCATGAACAGCATTCTAACTCCATAAGTATGAGAGCAGTAAGTCTGTTTTCTTAGGATTTGACATGTCAACCAAATAGTGGCTTACTGAAATGCTTTGGAATTAATGTGTGGTTGGGATGTAGGCATTAGGCAGGATATACATTTAGAATTTTAGTACTAAATAAAGCAGGATGGCTTGGTTTGTGGGATATAAATTTAAATAAGATGGGGGTTATAATTATGTAGAAATTTATCAATTATTTCATGTGGAAGTGGGCACTGACAACAAAGAACATACGGAACATTCAAATCTTATCTATATTTCTTTTTAAATAAGAAAAAAGTAACTTGGATTTTTAGTTTACAATGTAAATTTTAATTCTACCTTGATTTTATTAACTTATTGTAAAAAAATCAAGCCTATTGTATAAAATATTTTTTGACTAGAAAAGTATTCTTCATTATAGTAATGTGGATTACAAAAATGGAAAGAAAGATATGATGGGCAGGATTTTAAGTTGAATCTCAATGACCCCTGTTCCTGTCAAATTTTCTTCCCTTTTAGTGTGGGTAGAACCACTGACTATGATGCAACACGATTCCCATGAGCCCTTGAAAAGTGGGGCATTTTCTCCAGCTATAAACCATAGGGTAAATCAGAGAGATTAGAAGCATGAGAATGATTTCACACCAATAGCTGACTTTGAAGATGGAGGGGCCACATGGAGAGGTCACATGGAGAGAACCTGAGGACAGCCTCTAGAAGCTGAGAGCATCATTTGGGTGACAGCCAGGAAGAAAACAAGGGCATCAGTTTTATAAAACAAGGGAATGGATTCCACCAACAATCCAAATGAATCCTTATCAAATTCTCCAGGTGAAAATGCAGATTGGGTAGCACTTAGATTTCAACCTTTTAAGACACTAAGCATAGAGTCCACCTCATGCTGCCTAGACTTCATTTAAAATGATTGCCTAACATTTAGACATTGACATTGACAGCCTATATAACTATTCCCTGTTATTGGGCATTTAGGCTGTTTAGGCTGTGTCAGTTTTTGGTTAACAGTGTAGTCTTTGAAAACAGATTAAGTTTGTATTTCAACTTCGTTATAAGCTTACTGTGTGACTTGGGGCAAGTCACTTAACATTTCTGTGCTTCAGTTTTCACACATGTAAAACTGTGTGAAATAGTCCTTATTTCACAGGGTTTATTAATTAGATTAAATGAGTTCATATTAAGAAAATATTTAGAAGAATTCCTGGCATATGAAAGGTCCTCAATAAATGTTAGCTGTTTATACTGTATCACAAATTTTTGTTTTTACAATTATTATGACAAATGCCTGGATTAACATTGTAATGGCAAATAATTAAATCACTGAATCAAAGTGTTGTACATAGTAAGAACAAAATCATTTTCTACAGAAAAATAGCTTGTAAATTGTAACCTATGGAGAAACTTGAAAATGCGTTCTTTTTCTTAAATGGAAGAGAACAATTTGCAAAAAAGTGTTAAGTGGTTGATTCTGCCTGTAATCTTAGAGCTTGAATAATATTTGAGCTTATACTTTATCTAAAGTGAGAAATACTTAGAGTAGAATTATTTATTCTTATGACTCACATAACTTTTCAACTCATTTGCCTCTTCTGAATTATTTTAAATTATCATAAGCCATTAGAAGGAAAGAGAAATATAACCTAAAAATGAAAAAAAAGCGGCACATATACTGATACAAAATTATGAATCAATAGTTAGTGTGCCAGCACAAATAGAAACACAAATCCCCTAGGGAATAGAAAGGAGCACTTTCTGTCTTGGCAAAGCTACACTGGTTGTAACAGTGGTTCTCAAACCCAAGATTATTAAAATGTAAGTTCTGATTCAGTAGTTCTGGGGCAAGGCCCAAGCTTCTGCATTTGTAAGAAGGCCCCAAATAATGTACATGTCGTTGCCCACATACCATACTTTTAAGACAAGAAGTTAGAGCACCATTATAAACCACCAGAACCGGAGGTTCACTTGCTTTATTTGCCGTAGGCTGATGACTTAAAGTTCATTTTGCTAAATGTTTAACGAAATTTCGTGGAAATAGAGAAATAAGTTCAAAATTTATGTTTGTAAGCATAATTTACAACAGCCTCTCAAATGACTGTGATTTTTACAGTTGGTTTTAACTGTAGAGTAGTATAGTGCCAAAGATCAACATGAAAAGCCTCGTTCATCAGAATTCAACTCTTGCACCTAGCTGGTGGCTTAGAGATCACATGTGGAGAATAGGCAAGGTTACCTAGAGAACGTCTTCACTACAAATAAACTGCTCAATAAATTCAGCAGTCTAAGGGCACTCAAAAAATAATATTGACTTAGAACCTATTGGTAATTCTTGGGCCACTGCCAACTGTACTGGAGAACCTGCTGTAGAGGCATATTTACACTGGCTTTGCTTTTAAACCTATTTTATTTACAGCATGAATTAAAATTACCAGGCAGTAATAAGCTTTATCTTTTTAATTTCCTTTTTTTAAGTTCCCGTCATGATTCTGCTCTCTAAAAGCTTTTCCTTTTGTTTGATTAATTAAGCAAATTTATACACCCATTTACAAGGCATTTCCCCAAGTGTTACTGGAAAAACTAAGCATACATTTAATACTCCATGTAAAGAAAGCTTGAATTATAAAGGATCCATCTAAATGATACATAAAATTTCCCCTGTACAATTAATATGTACGCACAAGAAAACTATAGCTGGTAGGTTAAGGCTGGATTAAAGTGCTTTCACCGGATCCATCATTTTCTCAGCACCAATCTCTGGCCGACTCTCTCTGCTCTTAGATAATTAAACGAAGCTCCTATTAGGTTTAATTTCATTAAATCTTACTAAGTATTTTCACTTTGTCTCTAATCTGATGACAACTTAACTAAGAAAATGGAAAGTGAGGAAAATTCAGCTTGCTACACTTGCACTTTATGAACAAAGGATATCACATCTCCTGCTGCTTGTTACCAGAATATACTTCCTTTGGTCTATTACATGGTCCCCAGTTGGGTATGGAAGCAGCTGAGATTGAATGGTTCAATGATGTTTGGAAATACATAGGTAGATTTTTTTTTCAATTGACAAAGCAATGAGACAATAGTTAAACGTGAATCATTTTTTAGTAATAAAAGAGAAAATAATTCATAAGAAAATAATCATTTAGAAAAATAAAGTTATGATATAATATGAACTGGTAAAAGATATATGAACTGAAAATTCATGGAGATTCGTTACTGTTCTCTTTCTTTGTGGTAAGAAGTTTAAACAGCATAATATCCCTTGCTACTCCACACTGGTGCACAGCTAATACTATCAAAAGAAACCAGCAACTTGGCTCTCTCTTCAGCATGTGGTTTTGTCTGAAAGAACTAAACTAAAATTTAGTTTTTAAGTTCATTTACCCCTCTCTCATAGACAAAGATAATGGGACTGGCCATGGTCATTGTGTTGGGACTTGCTTATATGTGAGTTGGGGAACAAGAAAAAAGCAGGAGGTAAGGGTAGGGGTGGGGAGAGGATTTTTAAAAACAAATTCTTCATACTTCAAAATCGAACCTAAAATTTATCCTGAAGTAAGGAGTAGAGAGAGTGCTTCCTTTACTTCCTGTCTGTCTCTCCCTCACACTTCTTCTTTTCTCTCCACTCCTTTCTTCCCTTAATCTCCTTCCATTTCCTCTGTCTCATTCCCTCCTCTTCTTTGTCCTCTCTTCCTTTCCAGTCGTCTGCCTTTCCCCTATCCTCCTTCTTTCTCTCCTCTTGTGTCTCCTCTTTCTGTGCCTACCAACTCCCCAGTGGTACCTAGCCTCCCAAAATTATAATTCTGGTTATTTATGGGTTCAACACTTCAGTAGCCTGTGCTAAAAATATAACCCCTATTTGCAGTGTTTCCATGGAAAACATTTCTGTATGCACACAACCAACCCAAGAATGCACCTGTAGAAGTTGATGCTTCCCAAAGCATAGAGCACTACCAATGCTATCTCTTACAGTATTATGTGTATTTCAAGGGCAAGGTTCATGTTTTGGTGGGAGTCTGAAGCTTGCAGATTGTTTGATGCTCCCCATAAAGGAAAAAAAAAGCAAATGCATAATTGGGTAGAAAATGTATATTTATTTAAAATGAAAAAGGAAATCACAACAAAGGAGGCTTGTAGATCCAGGTTCATTTTTCTTTCCAAGGTTTTTAAGAAAATGTATCAGAAATGCTTTCGTAAGAAAGTATCCTGATTGCAACTTGATTTCTCTTCCACACTGAGAACATTTCACAAATAATCACAACTCTCAGACGTCCAGGAAGTCAGGGTCTCTGAAGCTTAAGCTCCTTTAGCTTTATGGTAAACCCACTTCTGCTTCTCTCACCCACAGCCTTTCAGAATGAATTTGTTTTCTCCTTTTTTTAAAAAAAAATATGATTTTTAAATTGACAAATGACAATTATATATATTATGTACAACCTGTTGTTTTGCTATGTATATATACATTATGGAATGGCTAAATTGAGTTCATTAACATGTACATTGCTTCACATACTTATTTTTTGGTGGCAAGAACAGAAAATTTCTTATCAATGTTCTAGAATACAACACATTGTTACTGTAGTCATTAGGCCCTACAATAGATCTCTTGAACTTATTACTCCTCTATAATTTAAATCTGTTACTCCTCCATAACTGAAATTTGTATGCTTTGACCAACCCTCTCCTCTTTTATAGAACAAAAGACTAGGTCCTATTAAAGATATAGGTCCATTGGGCTTTTATTTTTAATAATGTCAGAGCTTATATAACACCAGTAGTGTTTATTGCTCTATAGATTTTTAGGAAAAATTCTGTATTTGGTATGTAGGAATAAAAAATACTTAAAGATTTAATATGACTACCATAGAATTTTATTTTTCCAAAATATTTAAATATCTGTCCAATCTACATTCATTAAATGGTTTACCATATTTATTCTAATTATAATTATCCCTTTACAGTGAAGAAAGCCAATGTGATTGTGATGCATATCAATTATTAAATACACATCCAGTCCAGTTGTGTTTCTTGTTTTTTAATGTAGTTTGAAAATGTGAGGAATGCACAAAACTGTTCATTTGCTTCCAACAACTCAAAAATACATTAGTGAATTCAAAAATAAAGCTTCTGATATGATGTATCACATTTATTATTTTAGTGGCAAGTTTTTCACACTTCATTATTGAACCAAGAATTCTGTCATCTTGTGAAAAGATAGCAAAATTGCCTACACTGGTGAGATTTGTAAATTGGAGCAGAGTGTGAAGGTAACATGATGAGAAAAGCACATTAACCAACCCGGAGTTCAATACAAGATTAACACTTCAGCCAAGACGTGTGTGAAAGGTTGCTAACACAAACTGAAGATTCAAAATTTAAGATAAGGGAGTTGTGGTTACTCAGTACATGAGTAAGAGCAATTTCTGAAAATGAGAAGCATAACATATCTTGTATCTGAATTTAAGATAATCTAAAAATGTATCTCAAAGTAAAATAAAAGTTACTTCATCCTAAACCAGATTTAACAAGCTACTCTAAAATCTGATATTTTTATGTCTCCCCTCAAACAAAGAAAAGATATAGGAGTTGTTTAAGTTGAGGCACAGGAAGCTTGTTTAACAAATGGAAGAGTAAGAGAAAACCAGAGAACGTGGTTTTAGCTCTCAACCACCCAAATTATGCCTTCATTACTGAGTACTTATAGACCTTTCAACTGTAGTGAACTTCTCCAAATTACCTTATCCCCAAGTTACCTATAATGGCCCCCAGCTGTAGGTTCTTTACTTACCTGACACATCTTTCTCTTTTTGAAAAATAAAAAAGAATATCAATCTATATAGTTGTATCCTTTGTTAAAAATAGACCTTATGTTTTAGAGAAGTCTTGATTTCTCAGCAAAATTCAGCAGAAGATACTGAGACTTTCCATAAATCCTCTGCCCCTACACATGCCAAACCTTGCCCATTATTAACATTCCCCTCCAGTGTGATGCATTTGTTACATTTGATAAACCTATATTGACATATTGTTATCACCCAAAGTTCATTCTTTGCACTATGGTTCACTCTTTGTGTTTTACTTTCTAAGGTACTGATTTATACTGGACAAAGGTATAATGACATTTATTTACAGTATCAGAGTATCAGAATAGCTTTATAGTAGTATCAAAGCAGTTGTTTCACTGTCCTAAAAATCCTCTGTGCTCTACCTTTTCTCCCTTTGTCCTACCTCCAACCCCTGGCAACCACTGATTTTACCATCTCCATAGGTTTACCTTTATTTAGAATGTCATATAGTTGGAATCATACAGTATGTAGCCTTTTCAGACTAGCTTCTTTTACTTAGTAATATGCATTTACTTTTTCTCAATGTCCTTTCATGGCTTAATAGCTCATTTCTTTTCAGTGCTGAGTAATATTTCATTATCTGGAAATATCACAATTTATCTAAACGCCTACTGAAGGACATCTTGGTTACTTCCAAGTTTTGGAAATTATTAATAAAGCCTCTATGAACATCGATATGCATGTTTTTGTGTGGGCATACATTTTCAGCTCCTTTGAGTAAATACCAAGGAGTGTGATTGCTGGATCACATATAAGGAGATGCTAAACTGTCTTCCAAAGTGGCTTCCTGTAAGTTATGAATGAGAGTTCCTCTCGCTCCACATCCTCAACAGCATTTAGTGTTGTTAGTGTTTTGGATTTTGGCGTTCTAATAAGTCTGTAGTAGTATTTCATTGTTGTTTTAATTTACATTTGCCTGACGACATAGAATATGGAATATCTTTTTGTATGCTTTTCGCCATCTGTACATATTTGTGAACTGTTTGTTCAAGTCTTTGCCTCATATTTTTTAACCAGGCTGTCTTCTTGTTGATTTTTTTAGAGTTCTTTGTATATTTTGATAATAGTCCTTATTCAGATATGTCTTTTGCAAATATTTCCTGCAGTCTGTGGCTTCTCTTTTTATTTTCTTGAAAATTTTTTTGACAGTAAGTTTTTCATTTTAATGAAGTCCAGATTATCAATCTTTTTTCTTTCATGGATTTTTCTCTGGTGTTAATTCAAAAAGTCATTATCAAACCCAAGGTTATCTAGATGTTCTCCCATGTTTAGATGTTCTCCCATGTTTATCTTTAGGAATTTTGAAATTTTGGAGTTTTGTATTTTACATTTAGGTATATGATCCATTGTGAGGTTGTTTTTTTTTTTTTTTTTTTTTTTTTTTTGGAGAGGGTCTCACCCTGTCACCCAGGTTGGAGTATAGTGATGCCATCTTGGCTCACTGCAACCTCTGCCTCCTAAGCACAAGCAAGCCTCCCACCTCAGCCTCCTGAATAGCTGGAAGTACAGGTTCACACCACCATGCTTGGCTAATTTTTAAGATTTCTTCTACAGATGGGGTCTCACTATATTATGCAGGCTCGTCTCAAACTCCTGGGCTCCAGCAGTCCTCCTGCCTTGGCCTCCCAAAGTGCTGGTATTACAGGTGGGAGTCACCATGCCTAGCCATTATGAGTTAATTTTTGGAAGAATATAAAGCATGTGTCTTTATTCATATTTTTGCAGGTGGATTGTTCAGTTGGTTCCAAGACAATTTTTTGAAAAGACTGTCTTTGCTTTATTTTATTGCCTTTGCTCCTTTGTAAAAGATCAGTTAACTATATTTATGCGGATCTATTTCTGGGCTCTATTTTTTTCCATTGATCTTTTTGTCTATTCTTCCACAAATATCACTTAATAATTGTAGCTTTCTCCTAAGTCTTGAAGTGTGGCAGTATTAATTCTCTACATTTGTTCTTCTTCTTCAACATTGTGTTGGCTATTCTGGGTCTTTTGTCTCTTCATATAAACTTTAGAATCATTTTGTCAGTATCCACAAAATAACTTTCTGGGATTTTGATTGAGATTGCATTAAATCTGTAGACCAAGTTGAGAAGAGCTGACATCTTGACAATATCGAGTCTTCCTATACATGAACATGGAGCACCTCTCCATTCAGTCTTCGATTTTTTTGCAGAATTTTGTAATCTTTCTCATATGTGTCTTGAACATATTTTGTTAGTTTATACTTAATTAATTTTCTTGAATGCTAATGTAAATCATATTGTGCTTTTTAATTTCAAATTCCACTTATTCATTGATAGAATATAGAAAAGCAATTGACTTTTGTATATTAACATTGCATACTTAAACCTTGCTATAATAGCCCATTAGTTCCGGAAGTTTTTTTTGTCAGTTCTTTCAAATGTTCTACATAGGACATTAGTCTGCAAACACAGTTTTATTTCTTCTTTTCCAATCTGTGCACCTTTTATCTCTTTTTCTTATCTATTGCATTAGCTAGGAGTTCCAGTACCAAGTTAAAAACCATTGATGAGAGGTCTTTTGTCTTTTTGTTGCTGTTAACTTTTAAGTTCAGAGGTACATGTGCAGGCTTGTTATATAGGTAAACTTGTGTCATGGGGATTTTTTGTACAGATTATTTCATCATCAGGTATAAAGCCCAGTACTCATTAGTTATTTTTTCCTGAACTTCTCCCTCCTCCCACCATCCACCCTCTGATAGGCTCCACTGTGTGTTGTTCCCTGCTATATGTCCATCTGTTCTCATCATTTAGCTGCAGTGAATATACACATGCATGCATGTGTCTTTATAATAGAACGATTTATATTTCTTTGGGTATATACACAGTAATGGGATTGCTAGGTAGAATGGTATTTCTGCCTCTAGATCTTTGAGGAATCACCACACTGTCTTCCACAGAATGAACTAATTTACATTCCCCCCAACAATGTATAAGTGTTCCTAAGTGTTCCTCTTTCTCTGCAACCTTGCCAGCATTGGCTATTTTCTTTTACTTTGTAATAGTAGCCAGCCGAGCATGGTGGCTCATGCCTGTAATCCCAGCACTTTGGGAGGCCAAGGCGGGCAGATCACCTGAGGTCGGGAGTTCAAGACCAGCCCGGCCAATATGGTGAAACCCCGTCTCTATTAAAAATACAAGAATTAGCCGAGCGTGGTGGTGGGCACCTGTAGTCCCAGGGACTTGGGAGGCTGAGGCAGGAGAATCGCTTGAACCCAGGAGGCAGAGGTTGCAGTGAGCAGAGATCGTGCCACTGCACTCCAGCCTGGGTGACAGAGTGAGATTCTGTCTCAAAAACAAAAACAAAAACAAAAACAAAAAAACAAGATTAAGAAATTCACTCAAAACCATACAATTACATAGAAACTGAATAACCTGCTTCTAAATGACTTTTGGGTAAATAATGAAATTAAGGCAGAAATCAAGAAGTTATTTGAAACTAGTGAGAACAAAGATATACCAGAATCTCACACACAGATAAGACAGTGTTGTTAAGAGGGAAATTTAATGCACTAAATGCCCACATCAAAAATGTAGAAATATCTCAAGTTAATAACATAACATCACAGCTAAAGAAGTAGAGAATCAAGAGCAAACAAATCCCTAAACTAGCAGAAAACGATAACTAAAAATCAGAGGTAAACTGAAGGAGACAGAGACACAAAACATCATTAGATCAGTGAATTCAGGAGCTAATCTTTTGAAAAAAATAATAAAATAGATATCTAGTGTGAATAATAAGAAAGAAAAGAGATAAGATTCAAATAAACACAATCAGAAATGACAAGGGGAATATTACCACTGACTTCACAGAAATAAAACAACCATCAAATAATATTATTAACATTTCTATGCACATAAACTAGAAAATCTAGAAGAAATGGATAAATTCCAGGGCAAATACTCATTCCCAAGACTGAACCAGGTAGAAATTGAACCCTGAACAGACCAGTAATGAGCTCCGAAATTGAGGCAGTAATCAATCACCTACCAACAAAAAAAGCCCATGACTAGATGGATACACAGCTGAATTCTACCAGCTGTACAAAGAAGAGCTGATACCATTCCTAGTGAAACTATTCCAAAAAATTGAGGCGGGGAGACTCCTCTCTAACTCATTCTATGAGGCCTGCATCATTCTGATATCAAAACCTGACAGAGAAACAACAACAACAAAAAGAAAACTTTTGCAAATATATTAGATGAACATCAATACAAAAATTCTCAACAAAGTATTGTTTTTGTTCTCGGTGGAAAAGCTTCAAGTTTCTTAACATTTATGATGTTAGCTCTAAGTTTTTTGTTGGTATCTTCTGAGCAGGTTCCCTTCTATTCTTATTCCTAGTTTAATGAGAATTTTTGTCATGAATGGGTGATGGATTTTTTGAATGCTTTTTCTGCATCTATTGATGTTATCATGTGATTTTTCTTCTTTAACCTATTAATGTAATGGATTACATTAATTGATTTTTGAATGTTTAACCAGCTGTGCATACCTGGGATAAATCCCATTTGGTTGTGGTGGACAGTTCTTTTTTATATATTGCTGGATTCATTTAATATTTTGTTGAGGATTTTTGCATCTTTGTTTATGAGACATATTGGCTTGTAGTTTTTTGTGGGTTTTTTTTTTTGTAATGTCTCTCTGATTTTGGTGTTGGTTAATGCTGTCCTCACTGAATGAGTAAAAAAGTAATAAACTCTTCTTTTCCACCACTGTCATGCCTTATTTCACCAATTCTCTCTTGGAATCTTCATTAATCATAAAATTAGCACTAGTTGATATTTTTTAAATGTTTGATATGTTTTAGACCCTGTGCTTAAAACTTTATTTTTAATGATCCCAGTATCTTATTTAGTTTTCCTAACACCTATTTAAGTATTGCTTTCATCCCATTTCAGATGTGGAGACTTATTTGCCTTTTCCTTTTCCTTTGCTTTGTTCTAAATCTTTGCCTTTACATTATTTCTTCCTCTCCATTTAAAAATGCAGCCAAGTCCTTTTTCTTTTTACTTTCTTTCCTGTAAAGTTATTTTTTCCTCTGTACTTACCATATCATAAAATTAGATGCCTCCAACGCTACCTCTTCCTCAGGCTACCTGTTTATTTTCTTTTTTTCTCTTCAGTAAAAAAATACATTTTTTTGAAACAGCAATTGATACTTTCTGTCATCAGTTCTTGAACTCTGGTTAACTTTGACCAACTCAATGTGTCTGAGTAGGTCAACCTGCCAACTTACTGAAACCACCTTTTAAAGTATCAGCACTGTTGCCCAGTCAAATTGTTCTTGTTTGGTCCACAGGACATTTGACTTCCATACAGCAAATAATAGCTCAACTTTAACGAAGATATAAATATAGACTCTCAAACTAAAAATTTCATAAATCAGTAGTTTCTAATGAGAAAGCTTCTCTGAATTAATAATCACATTATTATTATTTAGCTAATATTTATAAGCATTTTGCATGTGCTAAGCACAGCTATAAATACGTTACATATTTCACTCATTTAATCATCACAGAAATTTTATAAGTAGTATTACTTCTTCTTGTTACAGATGAAGAAACTGACACAGGAATAGGTGAACTAAACTTCCCAAGGTCATATAGCTAATAATTAATGGAGCCAGAATTCATGAATACACTTTTTTTTTAGTTAAAAATCCATATTTATAACCACACCACCATACTAAAAGAAGACTTATAAGAAAGTTAATAGTATTTAGTTTTGCAAGGAAAATTCACAAGCAGATGTTCCATTTTTTCTAACTCTACTTACATCATCAAAAAAACAAGCCAGTCATTAATGCTGATAAGTGCCACCCCTGTCTCTGACATGTTTTATATAACAACCTTGGGAAGGATGCTTGAGTCATGAATAGACCTTCACTACAATAAAAGCAATGAAGTGAAGTGAAGGGAAAACTGTGAAAGACATAAGCCTGAACACAGACTGGACTGTTGCCAATTATCTTCTGCTTCTTCAGAGAGAGACTGATATGCCTTCGTGGCCTCCTCACTAAACAAATCACTAAATTAACTTGTAGTCTAGTCATGTTTCTTTAGCATTTTCTATCCTTGTGCCCAGGAAGGTTCGCATTCAGTAAGGACAAAGATGTCCAGACACTGGAATGTCCTGCTTTGATACCAAGGCTGAGACATGATGAGGTGATTGATATCACCACTTTGACTATTGCAGGTAGGAGTATGAATGGGGTTTCCAAAAATTAGACAGTTGCTTCAGGTATGGATATTGCATGTACTAACTTTTACTGTTGACAATGAATGTGGTCCAGTGCAATGGCCATAACCTTTCTAAGCTTAAGCTTCCTCATTTTACAAGATGAAGGGTGCCAACTTAATACTAAATGTTAATTTGTTAAAAATTAAATAAGTTAATATTTTAAAAAACAGCTCTGGTCTGTAAGAGTTTGATAAATGCTATTTATTACTACTAGCCTTTATAATATTATTATTAGAATTAAATATGATTTTATGTTTATATTATACATACAGTGCTCAGTTTTTGATAAGCAATAGTTACCATGTAGCATTATTATTTAATTTATTATTATAATTAAAATTTTATAGTACACTTTTTTAAGTGCTTGCTGTATGGCTAAGTTATATACAATCCATACAGAGGTACTTCCTAGTAAGATTTTGGAAAATAAAGAGTCTATGTGGTTACCACATAAATTACTGGAAAGTTTAGCATTACCTTATTAAAATTGAGAAGCAAC